>NC_000007.14:62326104-62456779 GCF_000001405.40 Homo sapiens | reverse complement strand
GAATTCAACAAATGTACTTCATGGAATCATCATTGAATGGAATCGAATGGTATCATCGAATTTACTCGAATGCGGTCATCATCAAATGACATTGAATGGAATCATCAAATGGACTCGAGTGGAATCATCATGAAATGAAATCGAATGGAATCATCGAATGGACTTGAATGGAATCATCATCAAATGGAATCGAATGGAATGATCGATTGGACTCCAATGGAATCATTGAATGGACTCGAATGGAATCATCATCGAAAGGAATCAAATGATATCATCATCAGATGGAATCACATGAAATCATCACTGAATGGAATTGAATGGAATCATCTAACGGAATGAGATGGAATCATCACCGAATGGAATCACATAGAAGCATTGAATGAAATTGAATGGAATCATAATTGAACGGAATCAAATGGAATCATCATTGAATGGACTCGAATGGAAACATAGTCAAATGGAATTTAGTGGAATCATCATCAAATGGAATCGAATAGAAACATCTTCGAATTGAATCAAATGGAATCATCATGGAATTGAAACGAATGGCTCATCATCAAATGGAATCGAAAGGAATCATTGAATGGAATCGAATGGAATCATCTTGGAATGGAGTCGAAAGGAATTATCATCAAATGGAATCTAATGGAATCATCAACAAAGGGAATCAAAAGGAATCATCATCGAATGGAATCGAATGGAATCATCAACGAATGGAATCGAAAGCAATCATCACAGAAAGGAATCATAGGGAATCATTGAAAGGAATCGAACAGAATCATCAAATGGAATCAAATGGAATCATCATTGAATGGAATTGAATGGAATCATCAAATGGATACTAATGGAATAGTCAAATGGACTCGAATGGAATCATTGAATGGAACTGAATGGATTCATAGATTGGACTCGAATGGAATCATCATCAAATGGAATCAGATGGAATCAATGAAGGGATTTGAATGGAATAATCGAATGGATTTGAATGGAATCAGCATCGAATGGAATCGAATTGAATCATTGAATGGACTCGAATGGAATCATCATCGAATGGAATCAAATGAAATCATCATCAGATGGAATCGAATGGAATCATCACTGAACGGAAACGAATGGAATCATCGAATGGACCCGAATGGATTAATCGAATGGACACGAATGGAATCATAGAATGGAATCGAATGGAATCTTCGAAAGGACTCGAATGTAATCATCATCAAATGGAATTGGAGGAATCTATGAAGGGACTTGAATGTAATCATCGAATGGACTCGTATGGAATCATCATCGAATGGAATCATATGAAATTATCGAATGGAATCGAATGGAATCATCATGGAATGAAATCCAATAGAAGCATCGAATGGAATTGAATGGAATCATAGAATGGAATCAGACGGAATCGTCATCGAATGGAATTGAATAGAAGCATCTAATGAAATGGAATGGAATCATCATCAAACGGACTCGTATGGAATCATCATAGAATGGACTCGAATGGAATCATCGTCGAATGGATTCCAATGAAATCATCATTGAATGGAATCGAATGGAAACATCATCTAATTGAATCAATTAGAATAATGATGGAATTGATTTGAATTGCTCACCATCGAATGGAATCGAACGGAATCATCATTGAATGGAATCGAATGGAGTCATCATCGAATGGAATAAAATGGAATCATTCAATGAAAGAGGATGGAATCATCATCGAATGGAATCGAAAGGAATCATCATCGAATGGAATCGAATGGAATCATACAATATAATAGTATTGAATCACCATTGAATGGAATCGAATAAAATCATCGAATGAAATCAAATGGAATCATCATTGAATGGAATCAAATCATGAATGAACGGAATCGAATGGAATCATAGAATGGAATCCAATGTAATCATCATCTAATTGAACCCAAAGTATTCATTAAATGGACTCGAGTGGAATCATCGAATGGACTTGAATGGAATCATCATCGAATGGAATAGAATGGAATCATCGAATGGAATCGAATGGAATCATCATCGAATGAAATCAAATGGAATCATCAAATGGACTCGAATGGAATAATCATCGAATGGAATTGAATGGAATCATCAAATGGACTTGAATGGAATCATTGAATGGACTCGAATGGAATCATCATCGAATGGAATTGAAAGGAATCATCAAATGGACTTGAATGGAATAATTGAATGGACTCAAGTGGAATAATCATCGAATGAAAGTGAATGGAATCACCAAATGGACACGAATGGAATCATCATCTAATAGCATTGAATGGAATTATCGAATGGACTCAAATGGAATATCATCAAATGGAATGAAAAGCAAACATCGAATGGACTCCAATGGAATTATCGAATGGACTCAAATGGAATCATTATCGAATGGACTCAAATGGAATGATCGAATGGTCTCGAATGGAATCATCAATTAGACTCAAATGGAATTATTGAATATCCTCGAATGGAATCATTGAATTTACTTGAATGGAATCATTATTGAATGGAATCAAATGGAATCATCAAATGGAATCGAATGGACTCATCAAATGCAATTGGTCAGAATCATCATCGAACAGAATCAAATGGAGTCATCAAATGGAATTGAATGCAGTCATCATCGAATGGAATCGAGTGGAATCATCTTCGAATAGAATCGAATGGAATCATTGAACAGAAGCGAATGGAATCATCGTCGAATGTAATCGAATGGAATCATTGAATGGAATCAAATGGAATGATCGAATGGAATTGAATGGAATCAGCATCAAATGAAATCGAATGGAATCATCATATAATACAATCGAATGGAATCATAGAATGGAATCATCATCAAATGGAGTCCAACAGAATCATCAAATGGACTCGAATGGAATCATCATAGAATGGAATTGAATGGAATCATCGAATGGAATTGAATGGAATTATCATCAAATGGAACCAAATGGTATCATCGAATGCACTCTAATGGAATCATCAATGAATGGTATCGAAAGGTACCATCGAATGGAATCGAATGGAATAATCTTCAATTGGCATCGAAAGGAATCACCTAATGGACTCGAATGGAATAACCATTGAAAGAAATCAAATGGAATCATCGAATGGAATCAAATGGAATCATCAGTGAATGGACTAGAATGGAATCATCGAATTGACTAGAATGGAATCATCATCATATGGAATCAAATGCAATCATCGAATGGAATTGAATGGAATCATCATTGAATGTAATCAAATGGAATCATCATTGAATGGAATCAAATGGAATCATCATCAAATGGAATCAGATGGAATCATCATCGAATGGAATCAAAATTAATTAACATCAAATGTAGTGGAATGGAATCATGATCGAATGGAATCCAAAGGAATCATCATCGAACAGAACTGAAAGGAATTGTCATCTAATGGAACCGAAAGGAGTCATTATCGAATGGAATTGCATGGAACCATCATCAAATGAAATCAAAGGGAATAATCATCAAATGGAATCTAGTGGAATCATCGAATTGAATTGAATGGAATCATCATCGAATGAATTGAATGGAATCATCGAATGGTCTCAAATGTAATTATTTTCAAATGGAATCGAAAGTATTCACCGAATAGAGTCGAATGGAATAAACATCGAATGGACTCAAATGGAATCATCATCAAATGGAATCAAAAGGAATTATTGAATGGAATCGAATAGAATCATCAAATGGACTCGAATGGAATCATCGAATGGAATGGAATGGAATAATAAATGAACACGAAAGGAATCATCATTGAATGGAATTGAATGGATTCATCGAATGGAAACAAATGGAATCATCAACGAATGGAATAAAATGGAATCATCATCGAATGGAATCGAATGGAATCCTCGAATAGAATCAGATGGAATCATCAAATGGTATCGAAAGGAATCATCAAACAGAATTGAATAGAACGATCGAATGGAATCGAAGGCAATCATCATTGACTGGAATCAAATGGAATCAAATGGAATCATTCTCAAGTGGAATCTAGTGGAATCATCGAAAGAAATCGAATGGAATCATTGTCGAATGGAATGGAATCAAATAATGGAATTGAATGGAATCACCAATGAATTGAATCAAATGGAATCACCAATTAATTGAATCGAATGGAATCATCATCGAATGGATTCGAAGGGAATCATTGAATGGACTCGAATAGGATCATCATTGAATGGAATTGTGTGGAATCATCTAATGCACATGAATAGAATAACCATCGAATGGAATCGAATGGAATCATCTAATGTACTCGAATGGAATCATGATTGAATGGAATAGAATGGAATCATCGAATGGAATCGAACAGAATAATCATTGTATGGAATCGAGTGGAATCATTGAATGGATTCTAATGTAATCATCGGAGAATGGAATCAAATGGAATCATCAAATGGACTCGAATGGAATCATCATCGAATGCAATCGAATGGAATCATTGAATGGACTCGAATGGAATCATCACTGAATATAATCAAAAGCAATCATCAAATGGATTCGAATAGAATCATCGAATGGACTCGAATGGAATCATCATCAAATGGAATCAAATGGAATCATCGAATGGACTCGAATGAAATCATCATCAAACGGAATCAAATGGAATCAATGAATGGAATGGAATGGAAAGGAATCATCATCGAATTGAATCAAATGGAATCACTGAATGGACTCGAATGGAATCATCATCAAATGAAATCGAATGGAATCATCTAATGAACTTGAAAGGAATCATCATCGAATGAAATCGAATGGAATCACCGAATCAAAACAAATGGAATCATCATTGAATAGAATCGAATGGAATGATTGAATGGACTCAAATGGAATATCATGGAATGGAATCAAAAGCCATCATCGAATGGACTGGAAAGGAATTATTGAATGGACTCGAGTGGAATCACTGAATGGACTCGAATGGAATCATTATCGAATGTACTCAAATGGAATGATCAAATGGACTCGAATGGAATCAAGGATTGGACTTAAATGGAATTATGGAATGGGCTCAAATGGAATAATCGAATGGACTCAAATGGAATAATTATAAAATGGAATTAAATGGAATCATAGAATGGAATCAAAAGGAATCATCGAATGGAATTGATCAGAATCTTCATTGAATGGAATCAGATGGAATCATCAAATGGAATTGAATTCAGTCATTATCGAATGGACTCGAATGGAATCATGATCAAATGGAATCGAATGGAATCATTGAGTGGTATCGAATGGAATCATCATCGAATGGAATCTAATGGAATAATCGAATGAACTCGAATGGAATCATCGAATGGAGTTGAATGGAATCATCATCAAATGAAATCGAATGGAATCATCGAATAGCATCGAATGGAATCATCGTCGAATGGAGTCAAATGGAATCATTGAATGGACTTGAACGGAATCGTCATGGAATGTAATCGAAAGGAATCTTCGAATGGGCCCCAGTGGAATCATCATCAAATGCAATCAAATGGAATCATCATCAAATATAATCGAATGGAGTCATCATCATATGGAATCGAGTGGAAGCATTGAATGGGCTCAAAAGAAATCATGGGAGAATGGAATCGAATGGAATCATTGAAAGGACTCGGATGGAATCAACATTGAATGGAATCGAATGGAATCATCAAATAGACTAGAATGGAATCATCATCGAATGGAATCGAATGGAATAATTGAATGGACACGAATGCAATCATCATTGAATGGAATCGAATGGAATCATCAAATGGCATAGAATGGAATCATCATCAAAAAGAATCTAATGGCATTATCGAATGGACTCGAATGGAATCATCGAATGGAGATGAATGGAATCATCATCGAACGGAATAGATGGGAAACATCGAATAGATTTTAATAGAATCATCCTCAAATGGAGTTGAACGGAATCATTGAATGGACACAAATTGTATCGTTATGGAATGTAAACAAATGGAATCTTCGAATAGACACGAATAAAATCATCATCAAATGCAATCAAATGGAATCATTGAATGGAATAGAATTGAATCTTCATTGAATGGAATCGAATAGAATCATTGATTGAAATGGAATGGAATCATCATCGAATGCAATTGAATGGAATCATCTTTGAAAGGACTCGAATGGAATCATCTAACAGAATCAAATGGAATCATCATCGAATAAAATCAAATGGAATCATCTAATGGACTCGAATGGAAACATCATCGAATGGAATTGAATGGAATAATGGAATGCACTCGAATGGAATCATCGAATGGACTCGAATGAAATCAACATTGAGTGGAATAAAAAGGAATCATCGAATGCACTTGAATGGAATCATCAAATGGACTCTAATGGAATCTTCATCAAATAGAATTGAATGGAATCATCGAATGGATTCGAATGGAATCATAATTGAATGGAATAAAATGGAATCATCAAATGGAATTGAATGGAATCATCATTGAATGGAATCGAATGGGATGATAGAATGGAATCGAATGGAATCATCATCGAATGGAATCAAATGGAATCATCAAATGGAATCAAATGGAATCATCATTGAATGGAATCGAATGGAATCATAGAATGGAATTGAATGGAATTATCATTGAATGGAATTGAATGGAATCATCATCAAATGAAATCGAATGGAATCATCATCGAATGGAATTGAATGGAATCATAACCGAATGGAATAGAATGGAAACATCAATGAATTGACTTGAATGGAGTCATCCAATGGAATCCGTTAGAATCATCATCAAATGGAAACGAATGCAGACATCATCGAATCGAATCAGATGGAATTATCAAATGGACTCGAACGGAAAAATCATCGAATGGTATCGAATGGAATCTTCAAACAGACTCAAAAGCAATCATCGAATGGACTTGTGTGGAATCATTATCGAATAGTATCGAATATAATCATCAAATGGACTTGAATGGAATTATCATCAAATGGAATCGAATGGAATCACTGAATGGACTCGAATGGAATCATCATCTAATGGAACCGAATGGAATCATTGAATGGAATGGAATGGAATCATCATCAAATGTAATCCAATGGAAACATGGAATGGAATCAAATGGAATCATCATCAACTGGAATTGAATGGAATCATCGAATGGAGTCAAATGGAATCATCATCGAATGAAATCGAATTGAATCATCTAATGAAATCGATTGGAATCATCTTCGAATGGAATCAAATGGAAACATCATCAAACGGAATCGAAAGAATCAACATCAAATGGAGTCAAAAGGAATAATCATCAAATGGAAATGAAAGGAGCCATCATCCAATGGAATCGCATGGAATCATCATCGAATGGAATCAAATGTATTCATCATCAAATAGATTCTAATGGAATCATCTAATGGAATTGAATGGAATCATCATTGAATGAAGTGAATGGAATCATCAAATGGTCTCGAAAGGAATCATCATCAAATGGAATTGGATGGAATCATCATTGAATGGAATAGAATAGAATCCTCATTGAATAGAATTGAATGGTATCATCAACGAATGGCATCTTCATCAAATGGAATCGAATGGAATCATCATCCAATAGAATCGAATGGGATCATCCAATGAAATCGATTGGAATCATCACCCAAACGAATCGAAATAAAACAAAGATTGGAATGCAACGGTATCATTGAATGGAAACGAATGGAATCATTTAATGGACTCGAATGTAATCATTGAATGCACTTGAATGGAATCATCGAATGGAATCGAATGGAATCATCACTGAATGAAATCAAAAGGAACCATCGAATGGACTGGAATGGAAATATCATCAAATGGAGTCGAATGAAATCATGGAATGCAGTCGAATGGAATAATTGAATGGACTCTAATGGAATCAACATCGAGTGGAATCAAAAGGAAACGTCAAATTGACTTCAATGGAATCATCGAATGGACTCAAATGAAATCATCGAATGGAATTGAAAGTAATCTTTGAATAGACTTGGATGGAATCATTGAATGTACTCGCATGGAATCATCATCAAATGGAATCAAATGGAATCTTTGAATTGACCCGAATGGAATCACAATCGAATGGAATCTAATGGAATCATCAAATGGAATCTAATGGAATCTTTGAATGGACCAGAATGGAATCACCATTGAATGGAATTGAATGGAATCATCGAATGGAATCCAATGGAATCATCATTGAATGGAATCGAATGGAATCGTCACTGAATGGAATCGAATGGAATCATCATCGAATGTAATATAATGAAATCATCATCAAATGGAAAAGAATGGAATCATCAACGAATGGAATCAAATGGAGAAATCGAATGAAATCCGTTAGAATCATCATCAGATGGAACCAAATGCAGTCATCATCGAATGGAATCGCATGGAATCATCAAATGGATTAGAAGGGAATCATCATAGAATGGAATTGAATGGAATCACTGAATGGGCTCAAATGGAATCATCATCAAATGGAATTGAATGGAATCATTATTGAATGGTATTGAATGGAATCGTCGAATGGCATTGAATGGAATCATCATCAAATGGAATCTAATGGAATCATCGAATGGACTCGAATGGAACCAACATCAAATGGAATGGAATGAAATCATAATCGAATGGAATTGAATGGAATTATCATTGAATGGAGTCAAATGGAATCATCATTGAATACAATCGAATGGAATCACCGAATTGAATCAATTGGAATGATCATAGAATGGAATCAAAGGGAATCATCGAATGGGATCGAACGGAGTCATCGAACAGAATCAAGAGGAATCATTGAAGGGATTCGAATGGCATCATCATCGAATGGAATCGAATGGAATCATCTAATGGACTCGAATGGAATCGAATGGAATCATCTAATGGACTCGAATGGAATCATCATTGAATGGAATCTAATAGAATAATCGAATGAACACAAATGCAATCATCATTGAATGGAATCAAATGGAATCATCATTGAAAGGAATTGAATGGAATCATTGAATGGAATCGAATGGAATCATCATCAAATATACTCAACCGGAAACATTGAATGTAATCAAATATAATCATCATCGAATGTAAAAGAATAGAATAATCAAACGGAATTGACTTGAATCAACATCGCATGGAATTGAATGGAATCATAGAAAGGTATCGAATCTAATCATCATCAAATGGAATCAAATGTAATCATCATCAAATGGAATCCAAAGCAATTACTGAATGGACCTGAATAGAATCACTGAATGGAGTTGAAAGGAATCATCATCAAATGGAATAGAATGGAATCATTGATTGGACTTGAATGGAATCATCATCAAATTGGATCAAATGGGATCATTGAATGGACTCAAATGGAATCACCGTCATATGGAATTGAATGTGATCATCTTCAAATGGAATCATCGAAAGGACTAGAATGGAGTGATCAAACAGACTCGAATGGAATCATCAAAAGGAATCAAATGAAATCATCGAATGGACTCGAATGCAAGTATCAAATGCACTCGAATGGAATCATCGAATGGTCTATAATGGAATCATCATCGAATGGAATCGAATGGAATCATCAAATGTACATGAATGGAATCATTGAATGGACTTGAATGGAATCATCAAATGCACTCGAATGGAATAATCAAATGTAATCGAATGGAATCATCCAATGGAATCAAATGGAATCATCAAATTGAATCGAACGGAATCATCTTCGAATGGAACCGAATGGAATCATTGAATGGAATCAAAGGCAATCATTGTCGAATGGAATCAAATGGAAATATCATCGAATAGAATTGAATGGAATCATCGAATGGAATCGAATGCAATCATTGTAAATGGAATCAAGTGGAATCATCGAATGGAATCTAATGGAATCATTGTTGAATGGAATGAAATGGAATCATTGAATGGAATTGAATGGAATCACCAATGAAGGGAATCGAATGGAATCATTGTCAAATAGAATCAAGTGGAATCATCAAATGGAATCTATCGGAATCATTGTCGAATGGAATGGAATGGAATCATTGAATGTAATTGAATGGAATCACCAATGAGTGGAATCAAATGGAATCCTCATCAAATGGTTTCAAATGGAATCATCAAATGGACTCGAATGGAATCATCATCGAATGGAAACGTGTGGAATCATCGAATGAACTCGAAATGAATCATAATCGAATGGAATCAAAATGAATCATCATTGAATGGTATCACATGGAATCATCATGGAATGGAATTGTACAGAATCAGCATCAAATTGAATTGAATGGAATCTTCAATTGGACTCGAATAGACTCATCAAAAGGAATCAAATGGAAGCATCGAATGGACTCGAATGGAATCATCATCAAATGGAATTGAATGGAATCATCGAAACGACTCGAATTGAATCATAAAATGGACTAGAACGGAATCATTATAGAATGGAATCGAATAGAGTAATCGGATGGACTTGAATGGAATCATCATGGAGTGGAATCGATAGGAATCATTGAATGCACTCGAATGGAATCATCATCGAATGGAATTGAATAGGATCATCGAATGGACTCGAATGGAATCATCATCAAATGGAATCCTTTGGAACCATTGAATGGAAAGGAATGGTATTATCGGATGGAATTGAATGGTATCATCTTTGAATGGATTCAAGTGGAATCATCCAAAGGAATCAAATGCAATCATCATCGAATGGAATCGTATAGACTCATTGAATGGAATCGACTGGAATCACCATTGAATGGACTCGAATGGAATCATCATCAAATAGAATCGAAAGGAATCACCAAATGGACTCGAATGGAATCATCATCAAATGGAATCAAATGGAATCATCGAATGGGATAGAATGTAATCATCATAAAATGTAATCAAATGGAATCATCAAATGGAATCGAATGGAATCATCATTGAATGGAGTCGAATAGAACCATCGAATGGAATCAAATGGAATCAACATCGAATGGAATCATAGAATGGTATCGAATGGAATCATCATCGAATGGAATTGAAAACAATTATTGAATGGACTCAAATAGAATCATTGAATGGACTTGAATGGAATCATCATTAAATGGAGTAGAATGGAATCATCGAATGGACCCAAATGGAATCACCATTGAATTGAATCCAATGGAATCATCGAATGGACTCGAATGGAATCATCATCGAATGGAAAATAATGGAATGATCATCGAATGGAATCAAATGGAATCATCTAATGGACCCGAATGGAATCATCACTGAATGGAAAAAAATGGAATCATCATCAAATCGAATCGAATGGAATCATCTAATGGACCCAAATGGAATCACCATTGGGTTTAATAGAATGGAATCATCATCGAATGGAATAGAATGGAATCATCTAATGTACATGAATAGCATCAACATTGAATGGAATCTAATGGAATCGTCTAATGTACTTGAATGGAATCATCATCTAATGGAATAGAATGGAATCATCAAATGGAATCGAATGGAATCTTCATCATATAAAATCGAGTGCAATCATCGAATGGACTTGAATGTAATCATCAGAGAATGGAATCCAATGGAATCATCGAATGGATTCGAATGGAATCATCATCGAATGGAATCGAATGGAATCATCTAATGGACACGAATAGCATCAACATTGAATGGAATCAAACGGAATCATCTAATGTACTCGAATGGAATCATCATCTAATGGAATAGAATGGAATCATCGAATGGAATCAAATGGATTCATCATCGTATGGAATCGAGTGGAATTATCGAATGGACTCAAAAGTAATCATCAGAGAATGGAATCGAATGGAATCATCTAATGGACTCTAATGGAATCAACATTGAATGGAATATAATGGAATCATCATCGAATGGAATCAAATGGAATCGTCTAACGGACCCGAATGGAATCATCACTGAATGGAAAAAAAAATGGAATCAACATTGAATGGAATCAAATGGAATCATCTAATGGACACGAATGGAATCATCATTGGATTGAATAGAATGAAATCATCATTGAACGTAATCAAATGGAATCATCTGAAGGACACGAATAGCATCATCATTGAATGGAATTGAATGGAATCATCTAATGTTCTCGAATGGAATCATCATCTCATGGAATAGAATTGAATCATCGAATGGAATCAAATGGAGTCATCATCATAAGGAATCGAGTGGAATCATTTAATGGACTAGAAAGTAATCATTGGGGAATGGAATTGAGTGAAATCATCTAATGGACCTGAAGGGAATCATCATCAAATGGAATCAAATGGAATTATTGAATGGACTCGAATGAAATCATGATTGAGTATAATCAAAAGCAATCATCAAATGGATTCAAATAGAATCATCAAATGGCTCGAATGGAATCAACATCAAATGGAATCACATGGAATCACTGAATGGACTCAAATGGAATCTTCATTGAATGGAATCGAATGTAATCGTCGAATGGACTTGAATGGAACCATCATCGAATGGAATCAAATGGAATCACTGAATGGACTCGAATGGAATCATCATCGAATGGAATCAAATGGAATAATTGAATGTACTCAAATGGCATGATCATCTAATGGAATCATATGGAATCATATAACTGACTCGAATGGAGTCATCATCAAATGGCATTGAATGGATTCATCGAATGTACACTAATGGAAACATCATCGAATGGAATCAAATGGAATCATCAATTGGACACGAATGGAATCGTCGAATGGACTCTAATGGAATCATCATCGAATGGAATCAAATGAAATCATTATCTGATGGAATCATCACTGAATGGAATCAAATGGAATCATCGAATGGAATGAGATGAAATCATCATCGAATGGAATCAAATAGAAGCATCATATGAAATCCAAAGTAATCATCAACTAATGGAGTCAAATGGAATCATCAACAAATGGACTCGAATGGAATCATCATCGAAAGCAATCTAATGGAATCATCATCGAATGGAATTGAATGGAAATATCATCGAATTGAATCAAATGGAATAATGATGGAATTGAACTGAATGGCTCATCATCGAATGGAATCGAATGGAATCATTGAATGGAATCAAATGGAATAATCATTGAATGGCATCAAATGGAATCATCGAATGGAAACGAATGGAATCATCATCGAAAGGAATCGAATGGAACCATCGAATGTAATCGAATAGAATCACCATCGAATGGAATCTATTGGAATCAACAGTTAAGAGAATCGAATGGAATCATCATCAAATGGTATCAAATGGAATCATCAACAGGAATCAAATGGATTCATCGAATGAAATCCCATGAAATCATCATCAAATGGAACCGAATGGAATCATTGAATGGACTCGAATGGAATCATCATCGAATGGACTCTAATGGAATCATCATCGAATTGAATCGAATGGTGTCATTGAATGGACTCAAGTGGAATCATCCATTGGAGTTTAATGGAAACATCATCAAGTGGAGTCAAATGGAATCATCGAATGGCAATGAATAGCATCATCAATGAATGGTATAAAAGGGAATAATTGAATGGACTCGAATAGAATAATCAAATGGACTCGAGTGGAATCATCATTATATGGAATCTTCGAATGGACTCGAATGGAATCTTCATCAAAAGGAATCGAATGGAATCATCAAATGGACTCGAATGGAATCAATATCAAATGGAATCTAATGGAATCATCGAATGGACTTGAATGGAATCATCATCGAATGGGATCAAATGGAATCATCGAATTGCATCGAATGGAATCATCATCGAATGGAATGGAATGGAATCATCTAATGGACTCGAATGGAATCATCATCGAATGGTATCGAATGGAATCTATGAATGGACACGATTGAAATCTTCATTGAATGCAATCAAATGGAATCATCCTCGAATGGAATCGAATGGAACCATCATCGAATGGAATTGAATGGAATCATCCAATGGAATACAATTGTATCATCATCAAATGGAATCAAACAGAATCATCTAATGAAATCAAATGAAATCATAATCGAGTGTAAATGAATGGAATAATCATAGTTTGGAATCGAATGGAATCATCATCGAATGGAATAAAAAGGAATTATCCAATAGAATGTAATTGAATCATCATCGACTGTAATCGAATAGAATCATCGAATGAAATCGAATGGAATAATAATCGACTGTTATCAAATGGAATCATCATCGAATGGAATAGAATGGAATCATCGAATGGAATCGAATGGAATCATCATCAAATGAAATCAAATGGAATCATCAAATGGACTCGAATGGAATCATCTTCAAGTGGAATTGAATGGAATCATTGAATGGACTCGAATGCAATCATCATCGAATGGAAATGAAAGGAATCATCAAATAGACTTGAATGGAGTCATTGAATGGATACGAATGGAATCATCATCAAATGAAATTGAATGGAATCATCGAATGGACACGAATGGAATCACTGAATGGACACGAAAGGAATCATCATCGAATAGAATCAAATGGCATCAACAAATTGACTCAAACTGAATATAATCAAATTGAATCAAAAGCAATTATCGAATGGAATCAAATGGAATTATCGAATGGACTCGAATGGAATCATTGAATGGACCCAAATGGATTCATAATTGAATGGACTCTAATGGAATGATCAAATGGACTCGAATGGACTCATCAATTGGACTCAAATGGAATTATCAAATGGGCTCAAATGGAAACATCAAATTGACTCAAATGCAATCATTATTGAATGGAATCAAATGGAATCATAGAATGGAATCGAATGGAATCATCGAATGGAATTGATTGGAATCAATATCGAATGGAATCAAAAGCAATCATCAAATGACTTGAATGGAACCATTATCGAATTGAATCAAATGGAATCATCGAATGGAATCAAATGAATCATCGAATGGAATGGAATGGAATCATCAAATGGAATTCATCGGAATCATCATCGAATGGAGTAAAATGGAATCAGGGCATCGAATGAAATCGAATGGAATCATCATCGAATAGAATCGAATGGAATATTAGAATGGAATCATCATCAAATGGAGTCCAATGGAATCATCAAATGGACTCAAATGGAATCATCATAGAATGGAATGGAATCATCAAATGGAATCGAATGGTATCATCGAATGCACTCGAATGGAATCATCAATGAATGGTATCGAATGGTATCATCAAATGTAACCGAATGGAATCATCATTGAATGGTATGGAATGGTATCATCAAATGTAATCGAATGGAATAATCTTCAATTGGGATCGAAAGGAGTCACTGAATGGACTCGAATGGAATAATAATCGAAAGGAATCGAATGGAATCATTGAATGGAGTCTTTGAACGGACTAGAATGGAATCATCGAATGGACTCGAATGGAATCATCATCATATAGAATCGAATTGAATCATCATCGAATGTAATCAAATGGAATCATCATCAAATGGAATCGAAAAGAATCAACATCAAATGGAGTCGAATGGAATCATCATCGAATGGAATCCAAAGGAATCATCATCGAATGGAACCGAATGGAATCATCATCGAATGGAACCGAAAGGAGTCATCATCGAATGGAATCGCACAGAATCATCGTTGAATGGAGTCGAATGGAATCATCATTGAATGGAATTGAAAGGAATCATCAAATGGACTTGAATGGAATTATTCAAAGAACTCGAATGGAATCATCATCGAATGAAATCGAATGGAGTCATTGAATGGACACGAATGGAATCACCATCGAATGTAATTGAGTGGAATCATCGAATGGAATCGAATGGAATCATCATTGAATGGAATCGAAAGGAATCATCATCGAATGGAATCGAATGGAATCATCATCGAATGGAACCTAACAGAATCATTATATAATGGATCCGAATGGAATCATCAATGAATGGAATTGAATAGAGAAATCGAATGGAATACATTGGAATCATCATCAAAAGGAATCGAATGGAGTCGTCATCAAATGGAATCAAATGGAATCATCATCAAATGGAATCAAATGGAATCATCATCGAAAGGAATCTAAGGGAATCATCGAATGGAATCAAACGGAATAATGCAATGGAATCGAAGGGAATCATCATCGAATGCACTCCAATGGAATTATCATCGAATGGTATCGAATGGGATCATCGAGTGGCCTCGAATGGAATAATCAAATGGACTCAAATGGAATCATTGAATGGAATCAAATGGAAACTTCATCGAATGGAATCTAATGGAATCATCAAATGGACTGGAATGGAATCATTGAATGGACTCGAATGGAATGATCATCGAATGGAATAGAGTGGAATCCTCGAATGTAATCAAATGGAATAATCAAATGGAATCGAATGGAATCATCATCAAATGGAATCGAATGGAATCTTCGAATGTAATTTAATGCAATCATCATCGAATGGAATCTTCGAATGTAATTGAATGCAATCATCATCGAATGGAATCGAATGGAATTATCATCGAATAGAATCAAATAGAGTCATCGAATGGAATCGAATGGAGTCATCGTCAAGTGGAATCGAGTGTAATCATCGAATAGAATCGAATGTAATCATTGTAGAATGGAATGTAATGGAATCAATGAATGGAATTGAATGGAATCACCAATGAATGGAATGGAATGGAGTCATCATAGAATGGAATCATCGAATGGACTCAAACAGAATCATCATCGAATGGAATAGTGTGGAATCATCTAATGGGAAAGAATAGAATCATCATTGAAGGGAATCAAATGGAATCATCTAATATACTCTAATGGAATCGTCATTGAATGGATTAGAATGGAATCATCGAATGGAATTGAACGGAATCATCATTGTATGGAATCGAGTGGAATCATCGAACGGACTCAAATGTAATCATTGGAGAATGTAATCAAAAGGAATCATCAAATGAACTCGAATGGAATCATCATCAAATGGAATCGAACAGAATCATCATCAAATGGAATGGTACAGAATCATCGAATGGAATCGAATCTAATCTTCGAATGGACTCAAATGGAATCATGATCAAATGAAATCGAAAGGAATCATCAAATAGAATTGAATGGAATCGTCATCGAATGAATTGAATGGAAACATTGAATGGTCTCCAACGGAATCATCTTCAAAAGGAATCCAATGGAATCATCGCATAGAATAGAATGGAATTATCATCGAATGGACTCGAATGGAATCAACATCAAACGGAATCAAATGGAATTTTCGAATGGAATCGAAGAGAATCATTGAATGGACTTTAATGGAATCATCCAATGGAATGGAATACAATAATCCATGGACTCGAATGCAATCATCATCGAATGGTATCGATTGGAATCATCGAATGGACTCAAATGCAATAATCATCGAATGGAATCGAATGGAATCATCAGCAGATGGAAACGAATGGAATCATCATCAATGGAATTGAATGGAATCATCAAATGGTATCAGATGGAATCAACATCACATGGAATCGAATAGAATTATGGAATGAAATTGAATGTGATCGTCATCGATTGGACTTGAATGGAGTCATCATCCAATGGAAACTAATGGAATCAACATCGAATGGAATCGAATGGAAACAGCATTGACTTGAAACGAATGGAATTATCATGCAATTGAAATGGATGGACTCATCATCGAATGGATTCGAATGGAATCAGCAAATGGAATTGATTGGAATCATCATCAAATGGAATCGAATGGAATCATTGAATGGAATCGAATGGAATCATCATCGGATTGAAATGAATGGAATCATCATAGAACAGAATAGAATGGATTCGTTGAATGGAATCAGATGGAATCATCAAATGGACTTGAATGGAATCATCGAATGGACTTGAATGGAATCATTATTGAATGGAATTGAATTTAATCATCGAATGGAATCAAATGGAATCATCATCGAATGGAATCGAATAGAATTGGCATCGAATAGAATTAAATGGAATCATCATCAATGGAATTGAATGGAATTTTCTTCAAAAGGAATTGAATGGAAACATCATCGAATAGGATCGAATGGGATCATTGAATGAAACTGAATGGAATCATCATCAAAACGAATCAAAATAAAACAAAGAATAGAATCCAACAGAATCATCAAATGGAATCATCATTGAATGGACTCGAATGGAGTCATCATCGAATGGAATCAAATGGAATCATTTAATGGACTCAAATGGAATCATTGAATGGACTCGAATGGAATCTAATGTAATCATCATTGAATGAAATCAAACGGAATCATCGAATGGAATTGAATGGAATCATCATCGAATGGAATCGAATGAAATCATGGAATGCACTCAAATGGAATCATCGAATGGACTCAAATGGAAACAACATTGAGTGGAATCGAAAGAAAGCATCAAATGGAGTTGAACTGAATAATCGAATGGAATCATCATGAAATGGAATAGAATCGAATCATTGAATGGACCCAAAAGGAATCATCATAGAATGTAATCAAATGGAATCATCGAATGGAATCCAATGGAATCATCATTGAATGGAATCCAATGGAAACATTATCAAATGTAATCGAATGGAATCATCATCGAATGGAATCAAAAGGAATCTTCATCAAATGGAATCGAATGGAATCATCAATGAATGGAATCGAATGGAGTCTTTGAATGGAGTCCGTTAGAATCATCATCGAATGGAACCGAAGGCAGTCATCATCTAATTGAATCAAATGGAATCATCGAATGGAGTCAATTGAATCATCATTGCATGGAATCGAATGGAATCATCGAATGGGCTCAAATGGAATCATCATCGAATGGAATCGAATGGAATAATCGATTGTACATGAATGGAATCACCATCGAATGGAATCAAATGGAATCTTCGAATGGAATTGAATGAAATTATTTAACGGAATCGAATAGAGTCATCATTGAATAGAATCGAATAGGATCATCATCGAATTGAATTTAATGAAATCATCATCGACTGGAATTTAGGGGAGTCATCATCTAATGGAATTGAATGGAATCTGCAAGGAATGTAATCGAATGGACAAATTGAATGGAATCCGTTGGAATCATCATCGAATGGAAACGAATGCAGTCATCATAGAATGGAATTTAATGGAATCAATGAAGGCACTCGAATTGTGTCATCATTGA
Source organism: Homo sapiens (assembly GCF_000001405.40). NCBI lineage: Eukaryota > Metazoa > Chordata > Mammalia > Primates > Hominidae > Homo > Homo sapiens. The sequence continues at coordinate 62,437,605 of NC_000007.14, read as the reverse complement.
ATGGAATCAGATGGAATCATCAAACGGACTCGAATGGAATCATCGAATGTACTCTAATGGAATCATCATCGAATGGAATCGAATGGAATCAAATTGAATCATCGAATGGACTCTAATGGAACCATCATCGAATGGAATCCAATGGAATCATCAAACGGATTCGAATGGAATCATCGAATGGACTCTAATGGAATCATCATCGAATGGAATCAAATGGAATCATCGAATGGACTCGAATGGAATCATTGAATGGACTCGAATGGAATCATCATCGAATGGAATCGAGTGGAATCCTCGAATGGAATCATAAAATGGAATCGAACAGATTTATAAGAAACTTACTTGAACCAAACAGTAGAAAAACAAACAAACCAAAACCCACTAAAAATGTGATGAGCAAAGTAGACATCAGAACAGGAAATATCACTGGGGATGAAGAATAACATTTCAAAATGACAAAGGGGAAAATATACCAAGAAATCATGTAAATAAGTAATATGTATGCACACAATAGCATTACTTCAAAATACATAATATAAAAACTATTAAAATTGAAAGGTAAAATAGTAAAACCATAGTCATCCATGGGGATTTCAACAGTCTCCCACCAGAAATTTTTAAATTTTGTTAAACGAAATGTTGGGAAGGGTAGAGAGGATCTTATAAATATAATTAGCCAACTTGATCTAATTGAAACTTTTAGAATAATCTAAGGATGAGGAATGAGGTAGCAGAGAGAGAAAAGGCAGACATCAATGTGACATTAGTGTTTCAAGGCTAGGAGAATACACCAATAATGTGTGTGTGTGTGTGTGTGTGTGCAGATGGTAAGCTCAATCTTAAAAATATTGAGTTTTAACTGACAATTCATTATTAGGAAAGATAAGAGGAAATGATATCTAGTGAGAGGCTATATGACTGAACTCTAAGAGCAAGGTCACAGCAGAAATTGTGTACTTCACAGCTCTATAAGGAGGTCAGTCAAAAATAAGTCAGTGATGAATTCTCTGGTGTAAAAGCAGAGGAATGAGGATTAGATTTAAAACACATGGAAGCAGAGTGACTTATGATAAAAACATGAGCTTGAAAATCCTGCAGAGAGGGCTTTAAATCCTGGGTATGATATTCTGCTTGTGTAGGCAATAGTGATAAAAACACAACAACAAAGAGAGGTAAAGAGCACTTTCCTTTGATATAAGTAAAGGGCACGTCTTATTGCACTTATATATATGTATTGAACTGAGATTCCACATGTTTCTCTCATTGAAACAGCAAGCTCTCCAGGCCTTGATGTTCCCAGTGAGGTATGTAACCTTCTGATGATTATACTCACCCACCCTCATTGCAAAGCTCCCATTGTTATTGTCTTGGCTCTGGATTCCCTCAAAAATAGACTATGAAACAAATATCTGGGGTCAGATACTTTAATCAGAAATTGAGTGAGAAAGCACAGAAGTGGAGAAAATGAAACAGAACACGAAGCCAGTGTGAATGAGTAGTTACTGCTATGTGCTCAGTAATGATGGAGGTATGGAGATTGTGTCAAAATAACTTTACAAAGAGATGAGGATGCTGGAATTCCCATCTCTTATTGCTTAAGGATTGCCTTATAATCATTAACTCTGCACCCCTAACGCATTCTTTGTTCCTATGTGTGGTTGAGAAGCACTGGTTAGCCTCAAGAAGCTTACAGGCAGGCCCGAAAATCAGAAAGACAGGCATGATGTGGGGAGCTCTCAGTTAGCTGGAAACAGGTGAATTTCAGGTGAACACATTGAGTCCAGGACATAGAAGACAAGTCATCAGCAATATCTGCTATAGCCAGTTTTCTTTTTCTTTTTAAGAATATATATACTTTTTATTGGGGGTCCCCAAGTCCCCCTTTGGTTTAATGATTCACATAACCCAAGAAAGCTGATTTTTTGTGTGGTTATAGTTTCTAACAGTGAAAGAAACCAGATTAAAATAATCAGAAGCATAAAAGCACTTAAAGTTGAGTCCAGGACAAACCAGATGTGAGATTACAGGTGACCTTTCATAGTGGGGACTTCACACTGACTAATTTTCTTTACAATGGTGTGAGATAACATGTGTGAACTTGTTGCCAACTAGGGAAGCTCACTCAGTCTTGAATCCAGGGGTTTTATTAGGATTCCACCACATATGCATCGAGCGTCCTGTGACTGAACTTAGCTACTTAGTTCCCAACCTCCCTATGCCCTAACAGAGGTCATATTAATATGGCATTACACAAAGTCATAGGCATACAGAAACAGGTGCTCACAAGAAATCACGTTGTTAGCATCAGTTATTTGATATGACCTACGTTTTCAGGTATACAAAGACTCGCATCAGGCAACATATACCAAGGGCTCATAGGTTATCATCTCCCAGGAGCTTGTCAAGGGCCAGTCCTGAAGACCTTTGGAATGCACAAGGTTTTGGAAAGCCATGTCTTCAGAATTAACCCTTCATTACACAACCTCCAAGAATTTTTTTTATCTTTAAAAATGTTCTTTGATCTTTGACAATGTACCAACCAATACTGAGTAATTAGTAACAACAGTGTACTCCTGAGTACTTGCACCTGCAAGGAGAAAGAGGACAGATGCACTTACATAGGAAAGATGCAAATAGACACCACTATGACAAGTAAAGCTGGAATAATCAATAAATTCCTAAGGACAAAGTGGGGCTGGTGAGATTGGGAGACTGCTGACAGCTGCAGAAGTTGAGAAAGATCCATCATATTGAAAACTTTTTCCCCACCAACCCACTGCAATCTCTCAAGCAATTGGTAAGGAATCCAAGAGAGTCTGTATATGACACAGATCAGGGAGAGCAGAACACTTGGGAGGTGACCAGGTCATGGGGGCCGAGCCCTTATGAATGGGATTAGTGCCTTTATAAAAGAAGCTCAATGGAGTTCTAGTGTGCCTTCCACTATGTGAGGACATAGAAAGAAGGCACCATCCATGAACCATGAAATGGGCTCTCATCAACACTGAATTTGTGAGCATCTTGACCTGAGATCTTACAGCCTCAAGAAGTGTGAAGAAAGAAATATCTGTTGTTTTTTAGTCACCCGGTTTATGTTATTTTGTTATAAGAGTCCAAATACACCAAGATATTCCACTTAATATGTAGGGGAAGGCAACAAAAACTGCCACGCTTAGAATACTCCTGATGCTGGGAGTATGAAAACAGGAAAAACAAAACAAAACTGCTCTTGAAGGTGAAGGAGGAATATAACTGAGCTCACCAACACAGCCAGGAAAAGAACAGAAGTGTGAGAAGCCTACATTCCTGAGACCCTGAGAAAAGGTACCTGCATAAGACTGAGATGAAATTACGTACTCTAGTTATGATTGAAATCCCAATAAGAAAAGAGGGAATAATAATGGAGCAAAAGAAATATTTTTCAAAATAACTGCCAAAAATATTCTAAAAGAAGTGACAGAAAATCAAACTTCAAATATTGGAAACTCAGAGAATGTGAAATAGAACAAAAAGAAATAAGAATTACATCTTGAAAATTCTTTAAAAAATAAATTCTGAATTTTATATCTTGCTCCAAATATATAGAGATATAAATAGGTTATCATCAAGATATGGAGAAAACCATACCATGGAAACACTAAAATAAGGCTGTGGAAGGACAACATTGATATTAGCCACAACAGAGTTCGGAACAAGAAATAGTATCAGAGATGAGAGATAATAGATAATAGAGTAATCAATTCTCAAGAAAATGTAAACATCCTACTAATTAGGGTATGCAGCTAACAACAAAACCTCCAAATACATGAGGTAAAACAGGAAAGAAATCAAAGGTGAACTAGAAATATCCGAAATTATATTTGCAGACTTCAACACTTTTGTCTTAGTAATGGAAAGACTAGGCACAAACTCAGTAATCATGTGGAAGATAAGAACAACAATATCACCAACAAGACATCCAATCTTCAATGGCAGATACTCTTTCATTTCAAGTGAAAAAAAAAAGTATGGCCTATTCTCTAACAAACCCAGAATTTCTAATATTTGCGTTCTTCCTTCCTTCTTTCCATCTTCCTTTCTCTTCTCTTCCCTTCCCTTGCCTTCTTCCTTCCTTTCTTCTTTTCCTCTTCCTTTTCTTTTCTTTTTTCTTTTCCTTTCCTTCTTTTCTTTCTTTTTTTCTCCTTCCTACCTTCTTTCTTCCTTCTTTCTGTCCTCTTATTCTTCCTTCCCTCCTCCCTCCCTTCCTTTCTCCCTCCCTTTTCTTCCTTCTTTACTCATATTCTTTATTTCTCACGTTCTTGCTTTCTTTCCATTTTTCTCCCTTCCTCCCACCCTCATTTTCTTCCTTGCTCCCTCCCTTCCTTTTGTCTTTTTCCTTCCTTCCTTGGCCTCTTTATTTTCTTTGTTTCTTTGCCTTCCTCCTTTTTACCATTCTCTCTTCCTCCTTTCTATCCTTCCTTCCTCCTTTCCTTGTCTCTATCTCTCTTTCTTTCTCTTTCTTTCTTTCTTTCTTTCCTCCTTTCTTTCTTGTATTCACACTTTCTTTTTCTCCCTTCCTGACTTTCTCCCTTCCTCCCTCGCTCTCTTCCTTCCCTCATTTCCTCCTTCTTTTCTTTCTTGTTTCTTTCTTTATTTCCTTCCTTCCTTATTTCCTTCCTTCTTTTTCTTTCTTTGTTTTCTTTTCTTTCTTTCTCTTTACTACAATTAATATTATTTTAAAAAATTAAGAGAGGGAGACAGAGAAATAAAGAACACTTTAATCTGCAGGTAAACAGATTATGTCTGCTGTAGGCCAAAGAATGGCCTCCCAAAAATTTTCATGTCCTAATTCCCAGGGTCTAACATACAAATATGTTAGGTTGCACGGCAGTGTGAAATTAGATTTCAAGTGAAATTAAGGTTGCGGAAAAATGATAGAGAGATTGTCTTAAATCGATGGGATCAATGAAATCACAAACTTCATTATAAGTGAAAGAAGAAGGCAGGAGAAAGGCAACCTTGGAGGTGGTGGCATGAGAAATTACTCAACATCACTGACTTTTAAGATACAAGAATGAGGACCCAGCATGGTGGCTCACGCCTAATCCCATCACTTTGGGAGGCGGGGGTGGGTTTATCACGAGGTCAGGAGATTGAGACCATCCTGGCAAACATGGTCAAACCCCATCCCTACTAAAAATACAAAAAAAAACTGGGCGTGGTGACAAGTGCTGTAGTCCAAGCTTCTCAGGAAGCTGAGGCAGAAGAATCACTAGTACCCGGGAGGCAGAGGTTGCAGTAAGCTGAGATCCTGCCACTGCACTCCAGCCTGGGTGACAGAAGGAGACTCCATCTCAAAAAAAAATAAAAAAGAAAAATAGGATCTAAGAATGAGGTCATGTTCTAAGGAATAAAGGTGGCCTCTGGATGCTGAAAAAAAATCAAGTAATAGATTCTGCCACATAGCCCTCAGACATACTGCAGCCCTGCCCATGACTTGATGTTAGCCGTGTGAGTTTCATTGAAGGCTTCTGAACTACAGAACTGTAGGATTAACGGTCACTTTATTGTAAGATATGAAGTTTGTGGTAATTTGTTACAGCAGCAAGAGGAAGTTTATATTGTAATTGTATCATGAAAATGAGAACCATAATTTACAACTGCTTTTAATGCTGCACTTGGATATTTGAAATCACGTACATGGAAATGATCTCTATGTGCATGAGGGAGGATAGCAAATTGATGCCAAAATAATGCAAATGCAAATGTTACATTCATTTCTATGTAGGTTTCATTTAATCTTTGAAATTAAAATGAAATTAAAAGATTGTGATCTTTTGATGAAATTAGACTAAAATGAACAATAACAAAATAAGAACTTACTTGTATTCTTTATATGGTCAATAAAGAAGTGATAGTGGAAAAAAACAAGATCAAATGAAGGTGATGATTTAGGAAGTTGGAAAAATAGATGACACTACAAAATGGTATATAACCAGTGAACACTTAGACACACTGATTGATGAACTTCAGCTTTTGGCTTGGTGAGAGTATAAAATGAGAGCAGCTGAGGTTTGCAAATTTGTAATCTCCTTGGGGAAAAACAGGGGAAAACACATCTCAGCCTAATAAGATTTATCTACTAAAGAGTCTAGACTTGATCCATTTGTCCTTGTAATTCAAAAGCTAATTCAAATACTGATTTGATGTATTGTGTGAACAACCATTGCTGATTATCATCGCATACCTGGCATTCTCTTGTATCTGATATCTAAAATATTTGGTAATTCCTGGACTATCTCTTTTCAAACCCAGTACGGTTTAATTTGAGTCTTAGAACAGTTGTGTTTGAGAAATTCTTCCCTCTACTGCATCTGTGAATGGGTATAGCATGGTTACATACATACTGTCACTCCATAGAACATTTGTTAAATTAAAGCCAAAGTTTAAAGCAAGAGCTTTAACTTAGTGGTTTTACTAATGGTTTCCTCCCCAATAGCCGCAACAATATTGATACCCTCACACCTTTTAACATAAAGCTTGGTGTTGTCTATTTTTCAGGTGCTGTCATCTATATGATCTCAGTATTATAAAAATCATCTTCCAGCCCACATGGTGGTTCATGCTTGTAATACCAGCAGTTGAAGAGGCTGAAATGAAAGGATTCCTTGAGCCCAGGAGTTCACAAGCAACCTTGGCAACATAGCAAGACCCAGTCTCTATCAAAACTTAAAAAAAAAAGTGTTCCTATTTCTCCACATCCTCTCCAGCACTTGTTGTTTCCTGCCTATTTAATGATTGCCATTCTAACTGGTGTGAGATGGTATCTCATTGTGGTTTTGATTTGCATTTCTCTGATGGACAGTGATGATGAGCATTTTTTCATGTGTTTTTTGGCTGCATAAATGTCTTCTTTTGAGAAGTGTCTGTTCATGTCCTTCGCCCACTTTTTGATGGGGTTGTTTGTTTTTTTCTTGTAAATTTGTTTGAGTTCATTGTAGATTCTGGATATTAGCCCTTTGTCACATGAGTAGGTTGCGAAAATTTTCTCCCATTTTGTAGGTTGCCTGTTCACTCTGATGGTAGTTTCTTTTGCTGTGCAGCAGCTCTTTAGTTTAATTAGATCCCATTTGTCAATTTTGTCTTTTGTTACCATTGCTTTTGATGTTTTAGACATGAAGTCCTTGCCCATGCCTATGTCCTGAAGGGTAATACCTAGGTTATCTTCTAGAGTTTTTATGGTTTTTGGTCTAACGTTTAAGGCTTTAATCCATCTTGAATTGATTTTTATATAAGGTGTAAGGAAGGGATCCAGTTTCAGCTTTCTACATGTGGCTAGCCAGTTTTCCCAGCACCATTTATTAAATAGGGAATCCTTTCCCCATTGCTTGTTTTTGTCACTTTTGGGTGGGACTGTAAACTAGTTCAACCATTGTGGAAGTCAGTGTGGCGATTCCTCAGGGATCTAGAACTGGAAATACCATTTGACCCAGCCATCCCATTACTGTGTATATACCCAAAGGACTATAAATCGTGCTGCTATAAAGACACATGCACACGTATGTTTATTGTGGCATTATTCACAATAGCAAAGAGTTGGAACCAACCCAAATGTCCAACAATGATAGACTGGATTAATAAAATGCGGCACATATACACCATGGAATACTATGCAGCCATAAAAAATGATGAGTTCATGTCCTTTGTAGGGACATGGATGAAATTGGGAATCATCATTCTCAGTAAACTATCACAAGAACAAAAAACCAAACACCGCATATTCTCACTCATAGGTGGGAATTGAACAATGAGATCACATGGACACAGGAAGGGGAATATCACACTCTGGGGACTGTTGTGGGGTGGGGAGAAGGTGGAGTGATAGCATTGGGAGATATACCTAATGCTAGATGACTAGTTAGTGGGTGCAGCGCACCAGCATGGCACATGTATAAATATGTAACTAACCTGCACAATGTGCACCTGTACCCTAAAACTTAAAGTATAATAAAAAAAAAAGTGGGCATGGTGATGTGCACCTGTTGTCCTAGCTATTTGGGAGGCCAAGGTGGAAAAATTGCTTAAGCTTGGGAGGCTGAGGCTTCAGTGAGCAGTGATTGCACCACTGCACTCCAGCCTGGGCAACAAAGCAAGACCCTATCTCAAAAAATATATATAATAAAAATAAAAATCAGCTCTCATTGATTTCTATGTAAATATGCACAGGAGATGTCCACATAGACATAATTAATAATATTTCTGACAATAGGTCCATATGATCTTCAAAATGTAAAATGCCTATCTGTGTAATTGACTGGTTAGTCTCATTAATGAATATAGATTCAATTCTACTTTCTTGTTCTAGATAAATTATATAATCTAGCCTTTAATTTCACTTATTTACTGATAACAACAGGATGAATGACAGGATATCTACTTTGCAAAATTACTCTGCTAGGAGTAAAGATGAAATAATGATAGAATTGCATGGAAAACTAGAAAAACGTATAGTCTTCTGATATTCTATCACATCACATACTAAAGGCCTCATAAAACTCAGATATTTTAGCTAAAAATGTTATTTTCATCATAGGAATGATCAAAGCATGAGACCACAATTGTATTAAAATGTGCTTGTATCACAAGCACAGGTGCTAAAAAGGAGGGGAAAACATCCTTACTGATATTTTCAACGTATGTTTTACTTTTCATCAACATGAACCTCAACTTGATATGATGCAGATTGAAGTAAATCACCCATAATTCCATATGAAGAAGGCCTGTGATATTTTATGGGAAAATAAATACAGAAAAAGCTAACAGAAACCCTATTAAGCGTGAAGATTTATGGAGCAAACTCAAATCCAGTGATGAAAGATACACACTCAAGTTCTGTTTGTTGTCTTGGAACAATACAGTTTAGAGGTGACTGGCGGGTGAGGAGAACATATGCGAGTTCACGAAAGAGAAAAGCTGAATGAGGCAATGCCTCTTCCTGACCATATCTCTTACTCAGATAACTATAGAATTTATTGTCCAGTAAAGGGTATATTAAAAAATCATATTAGAAGTCATGCAGTGAAGTTGTCCAGGGAAATCAAGACTTAACAGTCTCACTCTGACAATAATGAACAGGGGGATTCCCTCAAGATAGACTAGGACATGACCCCACACTGGCAGGTAGTAGTACCAGAAAAGAATGCATGGATAATCTTTACCTTATGCTTGAGGTAGGGACCAGGCTAAAGTGAAAGCCAGACCTAAAATTCTATCTAAAATAAATCCACAATCAAAGAAAATATGTGGTGTACAGGCATAGAATGTCTTTACTGGATCATTGAAATAGTAAGATAAATTCAACTTTTTACATTATTTTCTTTTCCTCCAGTTAGGGCTTGAGGTTTGTCTCTGGAGAGTGATTGTCAATTGGAGCCCTGCCTTTCTGAGGTTCTGGTCAGGGGTTGTGGATGCTTAGCATGTGCCTTTCACAGGACACTTCCTTACCCCAGCAGTGGCCAGGTGTGCATCCCACGACCAGGCCTCCCTCTCACAGAACATCTGTTGAGACTAGGAGATGCCTGGTGACTGTTGCCTGACCTGTGTCCTGTGTATTTCTGACAAGAGCCACTCTCGGAGACCCTGGCCAGAGGAGAGATAGGTTCCAGTGTAGGTCAGCTCAGACCCATAGAGGCCACAGAACAAAACATGGGAAATCACAGAAGTAGGTTTATTACTCACAGATCCAGAGAGAAGAGGGTAGCTGAGAAGAGGGTTTAGCTGTGTCCCCAGCCAAATCTCATCTTGAATTCCCACATGTTGTGGGAGGGAACAGGTGGGAGGTAATTGAATCATGAGGGTGGGTCTTTCCCATGCTGTTCTTCTGATAGTGAATAAGTCTCACAAGTTCTGATGGTTTTATAAAGGGGAGTTTCCTGCACAAGCTCTCTTGTCTTGTCTGCTGCCATGTGAGATGTGCCTTTCAGCTTGTGCCATGATTATGAGGCCTACCCAGCCATGTGGAACTGTGCATCTATTAAACCTCTTTCTTCTGGAAATTACCCAGTCTTGGGCATGTCTTTACTGGAGGTGTGAAAATGGACTAATACAGTAGCACACCTCATAGGGCTGAACAAAATAGGGAAGGTGAGTGGGGAGCAGGAGAGAGAAAAGGGATCTGTGGGACTCCAGCCTTTATTGGGCCCAGAACATTATCCAAATAAGTTTTCCACGGGGCACTAGTCGGTGGGGTGAGTGCCAGCAGGCACATTTCTTGACTCCCGCTGCAACCGAGCAGGTCACTCTGGCGTGTGGGGGCTGTCCATATGCACTGTGAGGTCTGTGGGGTGAGTCAGGTAGGTTGTATCAAACGGTTCCATAGCTGGTAGTCACCAGGAGGAGGCAACTGTGTAGGGTCAATAACTGGGCCAGCCACACTGAGGAACTGTGAGGGTTAGAACTGGAAATTGTCAAGGGAATCCGAACCCAGCTACCATATGAGAGAGTTCAACGTATGTTCAATGTGAATGCCATGGCAATATTAAAAGGTAAGAATTCGCTCCATGCGTGCTTGAGGTAAATAGGAGAAACCTAGAATTTATGTAAACAGTGAGAAGATTGGATACGTTTTATGTCACGTATTTTAATACTAGCAGCTTATTATATATGTCAATTCATCAGGCATTCAGAAACACATGCTGATGAAAATTTTTTGCACCATCAGACAAAAGACAAGGGTAGAAGACATTTGTAACCCTATAAACACTAGTAAATTAAAAACAGAAGGACCTTTATGTCCTAATATATCTGTGTTGTGAAAGGCTGCCCTGTGAAATACGGGATTTCTTAAACATATTTTAAAAATCATAGGGGTCAATATTTTTTAGAAATCCATTTAAATTTTCTCTTGTTATTTTACAATGCCTATTTATTTATTTAGTGGCTCTGCTGATTTTGATGTATATCATAAACTTTATATTTTCTTTAAAGGATATTTTATACAACTTTATGTAAAATATTCCAGTATCTTCACATTCTCTCCCTGTCCTTTTGTTTCGCTCTTATATAGTGTTCTTGAGTCTTTTCTGTGGCTTTTCAAACCTAGTAAGACTAAGACACTAAAGTAACATTGCCCGTGGTTTGGTAATGCCTTCTAAAGCACATCCTAAGCTCTCGTGCATACAGGGGTCTCCTTTTAGCTCTGTGCATTTGAGATCCCATATACCTAAATTCCAGTACTCCAAATCAGTACTGCTCAGTTTTACTGACTAAGTTTACAAATGTATTTTAATAGCAAGTTAGCTTAGTGCACTCTTGCTTCTTTCTTGGCTGCTTTTATACATGTATATTCCATTAAATGGATATAGGAGTTTATTTAAAAATTGTAAATTGTACTAATGAAACTGTATATTGTTGTGAATTCATAAGTGAATTTGGAAAGTATTTGTCTTTATGATACTAAATCCTTTTAATCCAAGAATCATATGTGTCCTTTTATTTATTCCCGTCTATATTTATATCACTGAGTAAATATATAGAAATGTGGATACATACAGCTGTAGTTATAGATACAAATATAGATATAACATGTTAAATATATATATATCCCATATAACATAGATACATGTTATATGTGTGTGTGTATATATATATGTTTTTGTTATTAAAGAGCTCCCTTAAAATTTTTCTTTTATTTCCCATATAATTTTAGGTCGAGCTTGAATTTTCCTTGTATAAACAAGCAAATATTTATAGTAGTTTTAATACTGATGTTTAAACATTGTATCTTATTTTAGCATTAAATATTTTCACAACTGTTATAAATATTATCTAATATTAATAATGTATCTGTTAAAATATTTAAAATTTTACCTTTGAATTATTTTATTGTTGAATTAAAATTCCTTTAATATGAGAGTAAATTTCTATTTTATGCTTTCCCTATGCATAGGCAAATTAATCTATCCACTTCTCTATCTCTATATAGTAACATATGAAAATCAGGCCTCTCTTCTTCTAGTGGACATACACGTTTGCCTATAGAATATCAGACTCTTTATAGCATTTAAAATCTTTAAAGACATGAATATTTCCTTTTAAAGAATATATTTTAGCATATACTGAGAATCCCCTATTTATTTTTAATTTGGGATAATCAGTATGATTATTAATATTATTGGATTACCAAATTTGGAAACACACTTTCATCCCCAAGGTGGATATTTTTTTTTTGCCAATTTCTTGTCTTACTCTTTCAAATATTGTTGGATATTATTTTTATTTTATTTGGCATTTTAGTATCAACATTTGTAATTGAGGTACTCTACATATTTTTTCTTCAATATCTGGTGGGTTTTATAATTACTGCTATATTGGATTTGTAGTAGACATTGACAAAAATTATTCCTGTATGTTTTATAGCTGTATGAGGGAAACTAATATATTTTACCCCTAAATATATTTCCTTGATATATATCAAAATGGCTATTGAGAAGGGCTGGAAATGCAAACTTAGCTGCAAAGCTGTTTTGGGGAGATTTGCATCGGTAGAGAATCTGCCTTGATGCATCCAGGCTTTCTCTGAGGTCTGCCCCCTTGTCTGGATATAGGAAAATTAACTGAGAGTCTGAGGTCTCCAAAGGTCTGAAAGAAGCATTTTCTGTCTATTCTCTCTGAGGACTGCTCCCAGTGAGGTTCCACCTATGTAATAAGTCCACTGTTCCTAGCCAGTTTCGTTTCCTCACATAACCTTTTTCTTTCTTTTCCCTGTGATCCAAGACCCCATTCTTTCTGTAAACTTCATGTGATAGATAAGCTTCTGCACGCATCGTGTGTCTGGGTCTTCGTTCTAAGGGCTCCAGTGTACACACATTGCAGAAACCTGTATGCCTTTTCTACTATTTATCTGCCTCCTATTAGTGATTTTCAGGGAAACTTCAGAAGGCAAAAGGGACATTCTCCTTTAGACCATTCTCAGACAAAATCCCCCAACATTTAACTGATTCCTAATAGTTTAAAATCACTTTGAAAAATCCATATATTTATAACGTTTTCTTCCCTCTATGATTTCTGGTCAGCTTGGGTTTTGTTTTTCATTCCATTTACTTCACCCTCGAAAAGATCTATTTTAGGTCTATTTATTCTCATTTATGGACATTGAGAAAAGAAAATAACTTTCATGTGAGAAGTGCAAGTCCTTTTAAATAATCAGGCCCAGAGAGATATTCAAATGAGACAACAGTTCTGTCCTGTTCGTCTTTGAGCTGTGTGTTCATCTAGGCTGCTTGCTGTTGCCACAGTAGCTATAAATTAACCAATAACGCCACACCAGACACTATAATCCACACCCAATAATAGTGTAACAGTGTATAGCCAGTCACTAATAAATGTTATTTCCATAAGCCAATGAGAATTTGTGACAAACCTCTTTGCATTATCCCATTTCTGGAACCTTTTTTGCCTTTAAGAAACTGCTTGTTGCAAAGCTCCAAAGGGAGTTCATAACCAAGGATACTTGGGTCTGTTTCTTCCAGGCAGCTGTCCTCATTGTGGCTCAAGTAAACTCTTTGAATTACGTTTTGTGCTTCAGCTCCTTCCACTTAGATTAACAACATAGATTTGTGTCACCAGGTACAGCAATTAAAATGTTTACACTTTTCCCCTCGAGGGCACTGATGTGTTTTCCTGAGCACTTGGAATAGCTACATAGTGTTTCCTGTCTAGATTATGGTTTCTGAACCTTGGTGCTACTTACCTTTAGGACCAGAGGATTCTTTGTTGTGGGTGGCTGCCCTAGCAATGCCAGGTGTTTCGTTAGACCTCTAAATTTCCCACCTCCACCAGTCTTGACATCCCCACAATAACCCTAGACATTGACAAATGTCTCCTGGGGAAAACTCTCCACCAGTTGACAGGCAAAGTTCTGGAAATATTGGAATTGTCAATTGAGATTTTATGTTATCCAAAACAAATATTTTTCTTTGTTTTTAAACATCTATTTCCATCTACTTAACTACTTATTTTTACTTTTATTTGTAACTTCATTCCGTCAAGGAGAGAGAGTGGATTTTCTGTTATGCTAAATTTTTGAAGAATGTATTGATTTTTTATGACCTGATACATGGATGATATGTAGATATTACATGTTTGTATTATAAAATTTCAGGGTAATAATAAAATAAATACTTATAATATTTATATTGTCACTGTATATTAGTTATTTTCTTTCTTCACTACAGGAGTTTTTCAACCTATAGGCTGTTTTTCAATTCTAGGATATCCAGTAGATTTTGAAATGTTATGATTAAATATCTGTTTCTGAAGCATTCATCTTTGCAAATGGAACAATCCTAAGCTCTTATAATGCACATCATATAAAGGGCAGATTAGTCAATATATGGTTCAGAAATAATTATGTAATGTTTATAAGAAAATTAAAAATTTAGATCCTTAACTCAGATAACAATAATCCAAATTAAAATTTGATTTCATTACATAATTTAAAATGACACTAGAATACTAATAAAAATGTAGATAAGTTTATATAATCTTTTTAATCTGTAGGACTTTATTAGCATAAATTGAAATACAGGATCCAAAGTAAGATTGAGACCTATAGTCAAAGGTTAAAATGTACACATCATAGGGACATGATTCAACTAATTTAAAGCAGAATAACATCGAGAAATATTGCAAAACATACATTTTACTGAATTAATTGTTGATATCTAATCATTATGTGAGAATCAAATTAAAAAGTAGCTACACACGCACACACCCACACACAACTGCAATATTGTCAAATAAACGATGTTCAGCTACACTAGAAATCACACCTGTGTTTTCTCCACAGAAACGATTAAAAATCACAAGAATATTTATTGTAAATATGGAGGTAAAGATACTCAAAATATTACCCTAAAATACATTATTTTTTTCAGATGGAGTTTTGCTTTTATTGCCCAGGCTAGAGTGCAATGGCACAATCTTGGCTCACTGCAACCTCAGCCTCCCAGGGTCAAGTCATTCTCCTAGCTCAGTCTCCCAATTAGCTGAGATTACAGGCATGCACCACCACACTCAGCTAATGTTTTGTATTTAGTAGAGACGGGGTTTCACCATGTTGGTCAGGCTGGTCTCCAACTCCTGACTTCAGGTGATCTACCCACTTCAGCCTCCCAAAGTGCTGGGATTACAGGCGTGCGGCTGGGCAGCTTTTTGACACATTTCAAGATGGCTACTCGGAAGACTGTAGATAGCTTCTTCTACAAGAATAGCTTAAAAGCCGTGTTTTTTGGGGAGATTTGCATTTGCAGAGAAAGTCTGCATTGATATAGACAGGCTTTCCCTGAGATACTCCCTTGTCTGGG
This sequence comes from Homo sapiens, assembly GCF_000001405.40. Classification (NCBI taxonomy): domain Eukaryota; kingdom Metazoa; phylum Chordata; class Mammalia; order Primates; family Hominidae; genus Homo; species Homo sapiens. The sequence continues at coordinate 62,422,261 of NC_000007.14, read as the reverse complement.
TTTAGGAAAGATTAGCTGAGCCTGGCAGGTTTACATTTCTAAAAACCATTTCCTATCTATACTTCCCAAGAGGAGGGCTGCTCCCTGTGAGGTTTCATCCATGTAACAAGACCACCTCTGCTGCCAGGCTCCTCTTTCTTCCTTGTCGTCACCTGTCTTCCTCAAAGCCTGATTTACCAACCTACAGCTCTGTGTTTTCTGTAACCTCAAGACAGCATAGGCGTGTTGACTACCTTGCCTTTCCTGGAGTTTTTATATATATAGTATATATTTGTATATCTATTTATATTATACAAATATTTGTATAGATATATTTATATATATTATGTAAACTCCAAGTGCATACTTGTGCAAATATCTATAAACCTTTTTTCCTGTTAATTTGTATATTATCAGTTTGTTTTATAGATTCAAATAATTAAAGCTTCAAGGGAGAAATTTAAACTTTCCTATAGAGAAAAGACAAATATGTAGGTGACAAATAATATTTAGAGTGTAAGACGCTTTTTAAAGGTATATTTGCAATTTGTGTCAAAACATTTAAATATACATTTGTTATTTTAACTATAAAATTTCAAATAATTTAAGCCAAATACATAGTATATGCAGAAAATTTGGCAATATATCTTTATAGCACCTTACTGTGCATTACTGTAACCAGCTGTCTAATATAAAGAATTAATTAAGGTAGCAGCTGCTTTTCAAATAGCGCATTTTTTTCACAGACCTATTAAATAAGACAAATAACATTTAAACTTTATTTTTAAATTTGCAGAATAGTAGTTTTCAGCAGATGGTTTATTTTAGCAAATTCCATCTTCACATTGTGCTATGCTGTTATGAGTTCCAGCTGTTAACGGATAATATTTTACTGCTGAAACTATCATGTGTGCTATAATTGCTCATTATGTGCCTTAAAACACAAGCAATATAATTATTTTCAACTTGGAGAAAATTAAAATCTTACCAGCAATTTAAAATCTCTAGAGTCTTCTTCTTCTGGTTAATTATTTTAAACTTGTATTTTTCTCTTTATGTTTTTAGTGAGTTGTCTTATCAAGGAGAAGAACTCAAGCTGATTATTCTTTTTTTCTCTTCCATCCACCTCGCAGGTGTGTTAATAATTTCATTTCTCAGAAAATGTTCTTTCATATCCATCTTACAAGATGAGAGACCTTTTAATATCTTCCATTCGGATGTGATACCAGTATTGGAACATATTCCAGCTTCATGAATATGGTGATACAAATAGTTATCCGTCTAACCTCTTTCAGTGCCAAATGTTTACTTTACTCAGTGAGTTACTCAGTTCACTGGTAATTTCTTCTGAAATCACTAATGAGAGGATCAGAGGTCTGGCTGTGGTCTGTACCTCATATGATCCCAGTGCAGACAATTGTTCCTATGGAGCACAGACAGTTGAAAGGATTGACTTCCTGCCTAGAATAATTTCTTCTCTGCTTCTTATCCTTCTTGTGGAGATTTCAGATTATCTGAATTGTTTTTCTATCTTAAGAAAAAACGCAATAATTCTCCCACCTGAGAGGAATGTAAACTGTAGTAAGTTAGCAGAACCAATCCGTAAAGTTTTTACATTGTTTGTTGCAAAATGCAGCGCTGGTTTCTCCATCACTAACCTTTTCTATCCCTCATTGCTCTTTCTTTGACTGCAATTGGATACCTCTAGGCAAATCTGTATTCCCGAGACAGAGTGCCCTTTTGATGAGCTATAAGCACACTCAATGGTAGGCTGAAATACTAGTTTCTATCTATGGCGAAATGGAATCATATCGGTGATTTTCTTAAAAAGGAAGTTTAACTCTTGCTATGGTTTGAATGCTTGCCCCTTCCAATCTCATGTTAAAATTTGATCCCCAATGTTGCAGGTGGGGCTCACTGGGAGGTGTTTGGTCATGGGGTTGGACCTTCATGAATCGATAATACCCTCCCTTAGGAATCTAAAGCTATCCTCCCTCCTTGGTGCCCTCAGGAATGAGTGTACCATTCTTTATTCACCTATAATTCCCCCACCCATCCTTTTTGAGATATTGATTACATGTATGTTACACTGCTGCATATTGTCTGATGTATCAGTGAGTTTCTAGCTTTCTTATTTTAGTTTACCCTTTGTCCTTTAGTTTGTAAAGCTTCTTTTTTTTCTATAAATTTTCTGATGTTAGCGTAAAATCCATTACTTATTCTATCTCATGGGATTTGTATTTCAAATATTTATTTTTCATCTATGTATGTCTCATTATTCATTTTATAAATTCTATTTTTCTCCTATGTTGAATTTTCATTTAAGTACCTTGACATATATATGTAGTTAACTATATGTATTTATAAAATATATTTACTTTAAGGACCTTGAAATTTCCTTCTTTTCTGTCATTTATAAATGACTTATTTTACCCTGTTAATATATATCTTAATCATATATATCTTACGGCTTCTTTGCATGTCAGAGTTTTTTGGGGGGTATGTTGATGTTATGCTATTGAATATCTAGATTTTATTGGCTACCTTTGAACAATGTTGTGGCAGGCAGTTCAGTAACTTCAGGATGAGTATTTTTCTGTTGTTGTTTTAAATCTTCTCTTTAAACTTTGTGGAGTTAGTCTAGAGCCATCTGTAATTTGGAGCTAAATGAGCACTTTCACTATGGCATGAACCTCCAGTGGTCTTTACTGAATATCCTGGAGGTAAAGAGGGGATTCCCTTCTCTGATTAGAATTTGGAATATAAACAGAAAAGAGAAAAATAGAAAGCTATGTATAAACACATGCATTAAAATGAATTTTATGTGGGCTTTTTCATGAAAATGTTCCAAAGGTATTTTATTTTTTTATTGGGGTAAAATACACATAACATAAAATGTACTCTGTTAACCATTTTAAGTGTACAGTTCCGTGGTTCTAAATATAGTCATAACATTGTGCAGCCGTCCCTACCATCCATCTCCATAATTCATTTCATCTTGTAAAACTGAAACTCTATACCCATTAAATAATACTTCCCCATTTCTTCCTCCCTCCAGCTTCTGACAACCATCATTGTACCATCTGTATAATGCTAATCAAGCATAGTTGCTGTGTTTCTTGCTTCGTCTAGTCCGCACGTAGCATACAAATGTAATAAACTACTTATTCATGTCACACCTATTTATTTTCTGCCTTATACCAAGCTTGTGGGATTCTCTTAAATACAACATTTTTCTACTTACACCTATGCAATACCCATTTGCATCGCCTTCCTAAATCAGGGGAAATTGAGCCTCTGTAAGGTGGAGTAACTTCCTAAGATATAAAACTCAGCATTGAAGTCTGTATACCTCAATATCCTCTCCTCTTCTCATTTGTCTTTACTGTCTTTTATGGATACGTTAGATGTTCAACAAATTCTCTTTTTTAAACTTAATTTAAGCCGTGGAGCAGAGTTTTGTTGAACAATAAACATGGTAGAGGACACTCTTCCTCCCTTTCATTTATGATCCTGTTCATGAAAGAGAGAAATTCCTTCATTGTGCTAGAAGCTTACAATAATGAAAATACCACTTTCTACATTAAACAGAAACTGAAGGGAATCAAGGTGAATTGCATGAGACATAGAAAACAAGTGGGAAAGAAATCTAGTATAATTTGCCCTTTGTGTACCTTTATTATTTAGCGTTTGAGTAAATGATTCCCCCAAATATCTTCCCATCTTAATTCATGTCTATAATATAGACATTTATGTCTCACCTTGTCAAGAAGGGCAAACTCTAACATAAACATTTCCCAAAAATGCTTCCTGTTAAAATGTAAGCTCAGTCTGGCTAGAAATGCAGCTCTCTCCATAAAGATTAATTGGTAGCTAATTTTGCATGCTGTTCTCTGAACTTGAGTGAAACCTGTCCATCAGACATACAGGGAATGACGGGAAAGGTGACAACAGAAGATGAATGCTATGTCACTAACCTTCAAAGATGAACTGCCTTTTCTTTCAAATTCTTGATATCTTTAGACTTCATTAATTCATCTCTCTTTGCCCTTGGTTCAACATTGTGCTATACCAAAACTCATGTGAAACAATGATCTAATGTAATAAAAATGGCATTTTTCTTTCATGTAGATGCAAGCTAACTGGCATTTTTACAATCCACATATTTCCTTTGTCAATTCTTCATTCTGTGTTGGAAGTAATTGATAGGTATTCCTGAAGGGATGAAGGTGTTTCTGTGTTCATTGTGATCCAAACTATTTTTAGACGTAGGGGCGTTTGTAAAACAATTTGTGCCAGCTGACCAAGGATCACTGTGGCAGAAAGCAGCAAACTTGCATAAGATGTCACTGCCTCAAAAGTTGGCTTTGAAAACTAGGGGCTTACTGTATAGTCTTATGAATCAAAGACATTGATAGATGTAGTATAAGATTACAATCATATTTTCCTTTTGACAGTCACATTATACAGCATGATGTATTGCAATTAATCTCAATTAGCTGATCACCATTAAAATTAATAATGTTTATTATTGCTGATAAACAATCATGACTCTCCTGTTCTCAAATATGCAAGGAATTCTTGTAATTTTAATACAAATTTACATATTATTATTTATTGATTTAATCTCATTGTATTTGGTTCATGGATCCAATTTATTAAAATATTGATAATGGGATAATGACTTGTCTCCCCATTTCATGTACACTAAAAACAACAATTCTTACAATGGTCTGCAAGCCCATCATGATCTGCCACATGTTAACCGCCAAAATTCTTTTACATCTTCACCCTTGATTTACCAGTGGTCCTGGCCACCTCACTTGTCCTCTGGACATGCCAACATGCTGCTGACTTATGACCAAGACTCTAGTTAATTTCTTGGCTTGGAAAGATAGCCCTCCATATATCCATTGATCAGCTCATTCAACTTCCTCAAGTCTTTACTGAAACTTCACATTCTCAATGAGGCCTATTCAGTATTTCAAACTGCCTCCCAGCTGCAACATTCCAAAACCCCTTACTCTTCTGTGTATCTTTGAAAGGATTTATTGAGATATAATTTATATAGTGTAGAGTGCACACATTAATGTCTATAAGTCAGTCGCTTTTAGTATGTGCATAGATAAGTGGAGCCATCATCACAATGAATTTTAGAGCATTTTCATCACTTCAAAAAGAAACCCCACCTTCTCTACCTGTTAACCTCCTATGCACCCATCCCCTACTCAATCCTAAGCAACCACAAATCTGTTTTCTGTCTCTATAGATTTTCCTATTCTGTTTTCATCTAAATAGAATCATACAATAGGTGGCCTTTACTGCCTGGCTTCTTTCAGTTGGCATAATGCTATCAAGGTTCATGTACGTATTGGTACTTTATTTCTTTTTATAACTGTATAACATTCAATTTCATGGATATAACATTTTGTTTATCCAATAATATTTTTGTTGTCATTTGAGTTGTGTTCAGCCTTTGGCTATTTAAAATACTGCTGCTAAAAATACTTGTGTACAATTTGCGTTTGAACACCACTTTCCAATAATCTGGGTGTATACCTAAGAATACATTTCTGGGCCATATGACAATTCTATGTTTAACATATTTAAAAGCCATCAAATTATTTTCCAAAGTGGCCAGTTCTAGCCATAGAGTATCTAACTGTGGTTTTGATTTGTAGTTGCCTGATGAGTGATGCTATTGAGTATCTTTTTATGGGATTATTGACCATTCGTGCATCTTCTTGGGAAACACATCTATTCCTATCATTTATCAGTTTTGAGTTGGGATATTTGTTACTGAGTTAAAACAATTTTTCTATATTCAAGGTACATATATATACAGACATATAGATACGTGTTTTTCAAATATCTTCTCACAATTTTTGAGCTGCCTTTTGACTTGCTTGGTTGTCCTTTGAAACACCAATGTCTTTAATTTTTAAGAAATTTTAAATATCTAATTTTTATTTTGTTGCTCATGTTTTTGGGGTTACAGCTATTTCTTTGCTAGATCCAAAATCCTGAAGTTTTTCCCATATGCTTTATTCTAGCTCTTGCATGTGTGTCTTTAATTCATTTGAGTTAATATTTTTGTATGCTTTGGGGTAAGGGTTCGAATTTATTATTTTGCAAGTGGTGATCCACGTGTACGTTGTTGACCCAGTTTGTTCAAAGACTGTCTATTCCTCATTGAATTGCACATGGCACCACTGTAAGAATCCATTGACTAGAGACATATAGTTTTATATATGGACTCTCAATTCTCTTCCATCAATCTATATATTTTTCCTTCATCAGTATTGTGTTGTCTTGATTACTGATACTTTGCAGTAAGGTTTGGAGCATGGGGGTGTGAATTATCCTAACATGTTTTCTTTTTTAAATATTATTTTGGCTATTTTGAGTCCCTTACATTTCCATGTGTATTTTAGAATCAGCTTGTCAGTTTCTACACAGAAGTCTGTTGGGATACTTGCAGGGATTTCATCAAAACTGTAATTTAAATTGTAAAGTACTACAATATTAAAACTTCCAATTCATGGGTGGTAGATGTTTGCTAACTATTTAGATATTCTTTAAACAATAATTTTTAATTTTCAGAGTAAAATCTTGTAACACATTTTCCAAATTAATTATTATTTCTTTTTTTGATGCTATTTTAAATTGAAGTGTTTTCTTAATTTCATTTTGGGGTTTTCATTGTAGGTGTGTGCAATTGATTTTTTGTACATTTATCTTGTATGCTGTAATATTGCTGAAATAATTTACGAGTTCTATCGTTCAGTGTATTCCTTAAAATTTTCTATATACAAGAATGTTTTTTCAAATGAAGTTTTATTTCTTCCTGTTCAGTATGGGTGACTCTTTTTTGTTTAGTTGCCGATTTGCCCTGCATAAAATCTTTAGTACAGTGTTGACTAGAAGAGGTCAAAGTATATATCCTATTCTTATCTCTGACCATAGCAGGAAAGCATCCTTTGCCATTAAGTTGCATGCTTGCTGTTGGCTTTTCACAGGTGCCATGTATCTGGTGTAGAAAGTTCTCTATTCCTGGTTCATTGAGTTTTTATTTTTATTTTTAATCATTAAAGCATTTGGATTTTGTTAAATGTCTTTTCCGAATTTATCGAGATGATCATGCAATTCTCGTTTCTTATTCTGTGGATAAGTTGTATTACCTTAATGGACTTTGGGCTGTTAAACCAACCTGGGATTACTTGTATAAATTTCACTTTGTCATAGTGTATAATTCTTTTATATGTTGCTAGATCTGATTTGTTACTATTTTTTAAGGAATTTTGCATTTATACTTATAGTAGTTTTATTTTTCTATGCTATTTGGACTAATTTTTGTATCAAGGTAACACTGGCCCCACAGAATAAATTGGGAAGGGAATATTTCTCTCTTTTAAAAAAGCTAGTCAAGAAATAATATGAATTATTCAACACTAACAAATATTATAAATTATTAAATTCTCTAATTTTTATTTTCTTCCTTCTGCTTGCTTTAGGTTTAGTTTGCTATTCGTTCCAGTGCCTTAATGTGGAACGTCATCTTATCTCATCCTTTCATTTGTCTTTTCATTTTCAAAATAGTGTCTTTTTAGCATCAGGTGAGCTCCCCAGGTTGGTAGTACTCCATGTTTATTGCTGTACAACGACAGGTAATATGTCCTGAAGACAATGGAAACTTAACATTCAAAATCTCCTAGATTCCACCTTATATGATATGTCTCTTCAATTGGTCCTAATTTCTACCCTTTCTGTATTACAAACTATGAGTACAATGGCATTCAATGAGTTCTGTGAGTCTTTCTAGTAAATTCTAGAAACTGAGGGTGTTCAGGGGAAACCCCTGAAATGGCAGTTGGTGTCAGAAGTGAGAATATTCTTACATGGCCTCTTCCTTTGAACTGTGCAGCTGGACGCAAACTCTGCACAATTTGGGCCAGAAGTCTCGTGTTGACTTTGCAGCCTAAAGTATCTTGTAGTTTGTCTAACCCTCAATAAATTTGTTTTCATCAAATATTGTATTTGTTACCCCAAAATTACCATCACGTTTTTTTCTCCAAATAACATTGGGAGAAATAGCCAGCTGAGTCTGTAACTTAACAGAAACAAGTGATCCATATACCATATACCATATAAGTGGCCATTTCATTTTGCCTTCTTCCACCAAATCTTAGCAACCTCAACCATTGCCATGAGCGACTGTAGGCCTACCAGCTACAAACAAACAAGTATCTTTTAAAAACACTTCATACTCCCATTTGATAAATTTCCCAGCAAAGAGATGCCTACTTTAACTCTATGAAAGTGGCTCATATTCACGAAGTCTGTAGATATTATTCATTTAGTGTGAGAAAATTATCCCAGCCATGCCAGCACATTCTCCTTCCCATGATCTGATTAGTTTGCAAACATATTCAGGCCATGGGTGAGAGATTTGTATTTCACAGTACAACAATTTTATGGAGGGCATTGAAACTGACATTGAGCAATTTAGTACAGTCACACATCACTGAATGATAGGGATACATTCTAACAGATGTATCCATAGGCAATTTCATCATTTTGCAAACATCACAGATAATATTACAAACACCTAGATTGTACAGCCTACCACGTCTAGGTTATATGGTATAGCCTCTCTCTCCCAGGCTACAAATCTGTGTACTACATTACTGTACTGAATACAGCAGGCAATAAGAACACAGTGGTAAGAGGTTATGTATCTAAAAATACTTAAACGTAGAAAAGTATGTAAAAATATCTATTATAATCTCAATGGACCACTTTTGTATATGTAATCCATCTTTGACTAAAATGTTATTATGCATGACATGACTCTATGACAAAAATAAATAACACATTGTAAAAAAAATGTACACAGGTATCAAACATATTAATATTGTAAAAATAAAAATATTTATTCTGTGTATTTGTAATGATCACAACATATTCACAGCTTATATTTTAGTACAGTTTCAAATGCCTAGTGCAATTACTATTTATATCTGTGTGTATTTTAAAAATGTATATAATAAATATTTTTCAGGTTCAACAATACATATCAATTCAACTGGCTCTTATAAATATAAGTTAAAATCAATTAGTAAATTCATATATATATACACAGGTGAATCAGTCTGTATGCATGTATGTGTGTGTAAATGTAACTGTATGTGTGTGTAAATGTAACTGTATGTGTGTGTAAATGTAACTGGATGCATCCTAATATGTAACCCTACCTACAAGATTTCCAAGATTCATTTATTATCCTTAAATGGTGTGCATTTAAAGATTTACAAAATAAAACCGCAATCGTGGAAAATATCAAGATGTTATTAAATTCATCTTGTCCACATAATTCTTTGTTTAAAATTATGTTTCTTGCAAAACTTGCGGTAATGCTTATGCACAAAATAATTTTCTAAATAAAATATAAAAACATTTTCTCAGTCATTAATTCTTAATTATTTCTCCCCAATAATTAATGTGAATTAATTCTAAATCCTTAATTATAGAATAATATTGCCCTTCAGAGTTCTTGCATGTTGTATACATTTCACTAACTAGAACATCTTCTGGAATATTGGCATTAATTAATGTCACTCAGCAATTAATGATTTCAAAGAAATTAATATCATTCATATTCTGAATCACAAGGGTACTTTGGCATCTAATTTAATCAACCTCTTTGTATCATCATCTACACTTTAATTACTTAACAAACATTTCTCTGTGTGAGAAAGATCGAGCAGGTTATTGTGCTTTTTTATGATGCAACTTTTGCTTAATCTAGAGATAGGCAATGTTCCCTATAAGGGACAAAGAGAAAAATGAAAGAGCAATAGAGATGTGACAGGCATGGAAAAAGACAATACATTTATAAAACAAATAGGGTCACAGATGATGATAATGGGGATCAAATCTTGAGATACTGACTCAGTTTATAACCGCGCTGTACAATAGAGCAAATCATTTGTTAATTTATTTACAAATGGAATCTAATTTCATTAAGATGAATACAGTGTTTTAAACAAGGCAGGTCATCTTAAAATAAAATAGTGGAATAAAGTGATAAAACCAATGTAAAAATCATAAACATTTTATAAAGATTTTTTGTCATGTAATTTAATATTTTTCTTTATTTAAAATCAACCAAATCAAAATAATTTTATCTTAATTAACAAATAATCATCAGAAGTTAACTAATTTTTACTTTATAACACTAGGTTTAAAAATTTTTCACTATATTTTTAAGCATACATGCTTATACATAAAATAAACATAGGTTATATATTTACATGTTCACAATATAATATTGTAATTGTTCCTATGGATGTGGTTTTTCAATAGAATTAATAAGTACTTTTAAAAAGTTTCAATTTCAATGATATATATGTTTGATTTTTCTTTGACAAAGCATACATATATTGATAGGTAATAATAAGAAAATCTTCTAAAGACATTACAGGAACATGAATAAGTAATTAAATCCTCAAAAATTTGTAATGTTTTATGTAAGCAGAATACATTTAACTGAAAATTGCTTTTATATAATACTCAAACGAGACTAAAAACATATTAACTAGCGGAGTAAGTCTTCATATTGATAATCTGAACTATATAAGAGGAGAAACTTCAAGCACTCAAATATTTGAAATGCTACAAAATATTTATATAAACTATTATTTAACAATTTCTGTTTGTAGGGTGCTATACAGTAATCAATATAAATGACATCTCAGTCTTTCTATAGCTTTGACCACATTTACCTCCTAATTTTAATTATTAATATGTTGGAGCAGTGCATACAACTAGATTCCGATCTTCCTTTTTAATGAGTAAAAATATGTCCTTTGAGACAGCCTTAAAGAAAGAGTACCTTGTATAAATTCAATGCCAAGAGACAAGATATTCTTGATTCTGAAGTCTTGTTCTTTTATACAGCAATGTAATTAATAAGAAGAAGAAAAGCAGGACATAGATATGGAGTCTATTTTAATCAAAAATTGTCTATAGATTTTAATGATAAATTTTAAAACTCTACTATATTTAGTTAGTCACAAAAAACTAGGTTGTGGGAACATATTTGGTCAATAAAACACCCCTACCAAATGCTGACAAGAAAAAAAGTTAGGTACCACCTTTCTTCTCTGCAGATGGACTGAGATGGGTTAATTTGAAAGAATGCTTCCAAACCTGAGGTGACCCCTGAGAACAGCATAATCCACTGCTGTCTCCCACATTCAGTTTCTCAGTCTGTGCTCTTTTAATTTTCGGGGGAGGAAAGCCAGTCCTTTAAAGCGATCTTCAGCATGATGGCAGAGCCAAGGAGTGAGGACAGCTGGCACGGTGTCTGACTTTGTTCCAGCAGCCACTTGGGCTTTCTCTGGGTCTTCTCTGCCCTAGGGTTAGCACTACTATTGAAAACATGTCTTTGTGACATTCTCTATGCCAGGAACTCCCAAAATATTTTCCTTGAAACTGATGAAATGAATAAAAATAAACCAAGAGGTGTGCTGTTTGTTTCTGTTTCCTCCTTTCTGCAGCCCTTCTTGATCATCTAATATTTTTAAATACATTGTCGATCACCAAAAGGAGCATAAGGGCTTTATTGGTTTGTAGCAGATGTATTAATAGCCCAGCCTCTATTCCTTACCTGTAGCTGCTGGGAATAAAACCATTCTTAACACTCTACAAGGTCTCATCTCCAGAATTTGCACAAGTTTCTAGCTGACGACTTTCTCTAGCACCACGGGAGCTTGTTACTGGGCACGAAGTGGGAAGAAAAGGTGAGGGTAACTAAGAAGAATCTCCCTGGATTCAGTGATGTAATTCTGAGGTATGTTCCACATAGCGTCCCATAAAATTAAGCCCAGATATCTAACACAGCAACTTACCTCTTAACACGTGTGGTATTGGCTTTTCTATCTTTCCTGTTTTATTTTGTTCTCTTTTCCTTGTCTTTCTTTCGCTGTGTCCTCACAACTGCTTTAAGAATACCCAAACAAATACGTTCATTTATTTTTTTAGACTCTCAGAACACAGTTGATAGTTGAACTTCTAATCTATGATAATCATCTTGGATGCTACACTGACAGGAAGATGGTGAACTCACAATGTCTAATTAAGGTACAATTTTAAAAATATATTGAATCATGTCCAAAGATTTAAAAAACCTAAGCGGCAGTGTCACAATTTCTTCTTTTTAGTTTACATGGTTTCTTAAATGCCTACAATTATTTTAAAGGAAGGCTTGAGTATAGGAAAAATTGAGACATATGGAACAAATTACTAACACATTTCTCCTTGAAATCCCTTAGATGTTTGATGATTTTTCACAGATATTTCTGAATTGAACAGCTAGTTGGGAATTAGTTTTATAAGCATATCCTTATGTAAAATTTTGTTTCTAACAGTGAATTGAAGGTTTAAAGATTAAATTATTCTATCCAGAGAATAAAAAGCAATTATTTCACAAGGAGAACATGTGTATGTTGACACGACATTTTAAAATCTAGATTTCAAAATAGGTCCCATATAATTTTGAGTCAATTAGAATATGTTTGTATCAGTCTGTATATAGTTTTACACCTGTCAAAAGGTACTTGAACTAAAAGAAGTACCTCGAACAATTTTGAAATTTATTGTTCCTCTGAAACTGATTAAAAGAATTATGGTAGAGTGAAATTCTGATTGGCATAATTTGGGAGAGAAATTATTCCTTGGAGATCAACCTCTGCCAAGATAGTTTATAATGACACTGAGACTCTTTGATTTACAAAATTTGTTATGTAAAAAATACAAAGACGATGACAGATAATACACAGACTTTAATTAAAATTGTACTAAAATTTAAGGTCTAAATAAATTACAAGGGTAAGTGGTACATCTAAACGTATGTTTATATATTTTATTTGTGCATTTTATTCCTAGGGTTGCTTTTGCTTTAGTTTGTAAAACGTTCTTATTTTTATGACAATGTAGTCTATACTAAATAAAGAAAAATCAGGAAATAGAAAATGAAGAAGAAAACATTAGCTATTGTCAACCAAATAAAAATTGTGCAATCTCTAAGTACATGAACGAAGTATTATTTGTATAGCATGTACAATGTTTATGCTTCACAGGGTGAGGTAGAGACTGCAAAACATTGAACCTGGGACAAATAAGAAAGGAAGGAAATTTTCACAAATTATTAATATTATAGAAAATGTTAAACTTAGCAGTTAAGATACAAGTAGTGAAAAATGATACTATTTAAGGAGATCTAGAAAATTTAATCTATATCAGTAATGTGTGAGAAGTATTAGAATAATGCTTGTATTTCTGGATTGGCATCGATTTCTATTGAGACTGGAAACATAATAGAAGTGAGCAAAAAAGAATTTAAATTGTGGATACTTGAGTTTTATACTTAGGAGTTCGAGAAATGATGATGATTCCTTTTGAGTACATTCGATGATTGCATTCGATAGTTCCTTTTGAGTCCATTCAATGATTGCTTTTGATTCCATTCGATGATATTCCATTCGACTCCATTCAGTGATTCCATTCGATTCTATACGATGATGATTCCCTTCGTGTCCATTCGGTGATTCCATTCGAATTCATTCGATGATGATTGTTTTCGAGTCTATTAGATTATTCCATTGGATTCCATTTGATGATGATTTCATTCGAGTCCATTCAACGATTTCATTCAATTCCATTTGATGATGATTCCATTTGACTCCATACAATGATTCCATTCGAGTCCATTCGATTATTCTATCAGTTTCCATTCGATGATGATTCCATTCCATGCCATTCAGTGTTTCCATTCGATTCCTTTCAATGATGATTGCATTCGTGTCCATTCGAAAATTCCATTCGATTCCATTGGATGATGATTTCATTCGAGTCCATTCGATGATGATTTCATTCATGTCCATTGGATGATGATTCAATTCGATTCCATTCGATGATTCTATTCGATTCCATTCGATGATGATTCCATCTGATTCCTATTGATGAATCCATTCAATTCCATTCTATGATGATTCCATTCGTTTCCATTCAATGATGATTCCATTCCATTCCATTCAATGATTCCTTTCGATTCCATTCACTGATGATTCCAATCAATTCCATTTGATGATTCCATTTGAATCCATTCGATGATGAGTCCATTCTTTTCAATTCCATGAGGATTCCATTTGACTCAATTCGATGGTGTTACCATTCTATTCCATTAGATGTTGATTCCATTGGATTCCATTGGATGATTATTCCATTCAAGTCCATTCGATGATGATTCCATTCGAGTCCATTCAATGATGATTCCATTCGATTTCATTCGATGATTCTATTTTATTCCATTCGATGGTGATTCCATCTGATTCCATTTGATGATTCCATTTGATTCCATTCGATGATGATTCCATTCATTTCCATCCAATGATGATTCTTTTCGATTCCATTCGATGATTATTCCATTCGAGTCCATTCAATGATTCCATTTGATAACGTTTGATGATGATTCCATTCGAGTCCATTCAATGATTCCATTTGACTCCATTCAATGATTCTTTTCGATTCCATTGGATAATTCCGTTCAATTCCATATGATGATTATTCCATTTGAGTCCATTCAATGATTATTACATTCGATTCTATTCAGTGATTCCTTTCGATTCCATTTGATAATGATTCCATTCGAGACCATTCGATGATTCCATTCAATTCATTTGATGATGATTCCATTCAATTCCATTCGATGATTCCATTAGATTCCATTTGATAATGATTCCATTTGATTCCATTAGATGATGATTCCATGCAATTCCATTTGATGACGACTCCTTTCGCTTCCATTCGATTATGATTCCATTCGGTTCAATTCCATGATTATTCCTTTGGATTCCATTCGATGATGTTTCCATTCGACTCCATTTGATGTTGATTCTTTTTGATTCCATTCGATGATTATTCGATTTGATTCCATTCGATGATGATTCCATTCGATTCCATTCGTTGATTCCATTCGATTCCGTATGATGATTCCATTCCAGTCCATTCAATGATTCCATTCGATTCAATACGATGATGATTCCATTCGATTCCATTCAAAGATTCCATTCGATTCCTTTCGAACATTATTCCATTCGAGTCCATTCGGTGATCCCTTTCGATGCCAATGGAAAATGATTCCATTCGAGTCCATTCGATGATACCATTCAATAACATTCATTGATGATTCCATTCGAGTGCATTCGATGATACCATTCGATTCCATTTGATGATGATTCCATTCGATGATTCCATTCAATTCCATTCTATGATGATTCCATTCGAGTCCATTTGATGATTCCATTGGACTCCGTTTGGTGATGATTCCATTCAATGATTCCTTTCGATTCTATTTGATGTTGATTCCGTTCAATTACATTCGATGCTGATTCTATTCAATTCCATTCGATGATTCAGTTTGATTCCATTCGATGATTCCATTTGATTACTTTCGACGATGATTCCATTCAATTCCATTCGATGATTCCATTTGATTCTATTCGATGATGATTCCATTCGATTCCATTCGATGATGACAGTATTCTATTCCATTTGATGATTCCATTTGTTTCTACTCGATGATGATTCTGATCGATTCCATTCGATGATTCCTTTAGATTCCATTCGATGATTCCCTTTGATTCCATTCGATAATGAATCCATTCAACTCCATTCGATGATTCCATTTGAGCAAATTCGATAATTCCATCTGAGTCCAATCGATTATTCCAATCGAGTCCATTCGATGATTCCAATCGAGTCCATTCGAAAATTTCATTTGAGTCCATTTGATGAATGCCTTTGATCACATTCGATGATATTCCATTTGAGTCCATTCGATGATTCCATTCGATTCTATTCGATGATGATTCCATTCATGTCCATTCGGTGATTCCATTCGATTTCATTCGATGATGATTCTTTCTGAGTGCATTAGATGATACCATTTGATTCCATTTGATGATGATTCCATTCGAGTCCATTAGGTGATTCCATTCGATTCCATTTGATGATGATTCCATTCGATTCCATTCGATGATTCCATTTGATTACATTCGATGATGATTTCATTTGAGTCCATTTGATGATTCCATTTGATTCCATTCTATGATGATTCCATTCGAATCCATTCGATGATTCTATTCGAATCCATTTGATGATTGCTTTTGATATTTGATGATTATTCCATTCGAGTCCATTTGATGTTTCTATTCAATTCCATTCATTGATGATTCCATTCGAGTCCATTTGATGATTCCGTTTGCTCCCATTCTCCGATGATTACATTCAAGTCCATTCGATGATTCCACTCGAGTCCATAAGATGTTCATTCCTTTCGATTCCATTCAATGATTCCATTCTATTCCATTCAATGACGATTCCTTTCGAGTACATTAGATAATTCCATTCGATTCCATTCGATGATGATTCTATTCGTGCCCATTAGATGATTTCACATGATTCCATTCGATAATGATTCCATTCGAGTGCATTCGATGATTCCACTTGATTCCATTCGATGATGATTCCATTCCATTCAATTCCTTGGTGATTCCATTCAATTCCATTCATTGATTCCATTCCATACCATTCGACACTGATTCCATTTAATTCCATTCGATGATTCCACTCGATTCCACTTGACAATGATTGCCTTCAATTCCATTTGATGATTCCCTTTGATTCCATTTGATGATGATTGCCTTCAATTCGATTTGATGATTCCATTCAATTCCATTCGATGATGATTCTTTTCAATTCCATTTGATGATTCCATTTGATTCCATTCGATGATGATTCTGTTCAATTCCTTTTGATGATTCCATTTGATTACATTTGAGGATTCCATTCGATATCATTCGATGATCATTCCATTAATTCCATTCAATGATTTCATTCGATTCCAAGGATGATGATTCCATTCAATGCCATTCAGTGATTCCATTTGATTCCATTCGATGATGCTTCCAAGCAATGCCATTAGGTGTGTCCATTCGATTCCATTCAATGATGATTCCATTCGAGTCCATTCGATGATTCTATTCGATTCCACTCACTGATAATTCCTTTCGATTCCATTCGATGTTTCCCTTTTATTCCATTCAATGATGATTCCATTCGAGTCCATTCGTTGATTGCTTTCGAGTCTATTCGATGATTCCATTTGAGCCCATTCGATAATTCCATCCGATTCCATTCGATGATGACTGCATTCTGTTTCATTCGATGATGATTCAAACGGACTCCATTCGATGACTCCATTTGATTACATTCACTGATGATTCCATTCGATTCCATTCAATGATGATTCCATTCGATGCCATTCGATGATTCCACTGGATTCCATTCAATGATGATTCCATTCGTGTCCATTCGATGATTCCATCTGATTCCATTCGATGATGATTCCATTCGAGTTCTTTCAATGATTCCATTCAAGTCCATTAGATGTTTCCTTTCGATTCCACTTGACGTTGATTCCATTTGAGTCCATTCGATGATTAAATTTGAGTGTGTTCCATGATTTCATTCGATTCCATTCGATGATCATTCTATTGGAGTCCATTCGAATGTTCTTTTTTATTTCATTCGATGATGATTCCATTCGATTCCAATCAATGATTTCATTCGAGTCCATTCGATGATTCCATCACATTCCATTTGATGGTGATTCCATTCGATTCCATTCGATGATGATTCCATTTGACTCCATTCAATGATGATTCTATTCGATTTCATTCGATGATGATTCCATTTGACTCCATTCGATCATGATTCCATTCGATTCCATTCAATGGTTCCATTCAATTCCATTCAATGGTTCCATTCGATTCCATTCGATGATGATTCCATT
Source organism: Homo sapiens (assembly GCF_000001405.40). Taxonomy (NCBI): domain Eukaryota; kingdom Metazoa; phylum Chordata; class Mammalia; order Primates; family Hominidae; genus Homo; species Homo sapiens. The sequence goes on along the minus strand of NC_000007.14, from coordinate 62,404,365 downwards.
CAATTCCATTCCGTGATGATTGCATTCGATTCCATTCGATGTCTCCATTCGATTCCTTTTGATAATGATTCCATTCATGTCCATTGGATGATTCCGTTCAATTCTTTTCGATGATGATTCCGTTTGATGCCATTCGGTGATACCATGCCATTCCATTCGATGATGATTCCTTTCGATTCCATTCCATGATTCCTTTCGATTCCATTTGATGATGATTCCATTCCAGTCCATTCAATGATTCCATTCAATTCCATACGATGATGATTCTCGGGTCCATTTAATGATTCCATTCAATTCGGTTCGATGATGATTCCATTTGAGTCCATTCGATGATTCCGTTCAAGTCCATTCGATTATTCCTTTTGATTCCATTTGATGATGATTCCATTCGATTCCATTTGATGATTCCATTCATTTCCATTCGATGATGATTCCATTCGTGTCCATTTGATGATTTCATTCCATTCTATTCGATGATGATTCCCTTTGAGGCCATTTGATGATTGCATTTGAGTCCATTTGATGATTTCATTCAATTCCACTCGATGATGATTCCTTTTGAGTCCATTCGATGATTCGATTTGTGTCCATTCGATGATTCCATTCGATTCCATTCGATGAGGACTCCATTAGAGTCCATTCAATGATTCTATTAGATTCCATTCAATGATGATTCCGTTCGAGTCCATTCGATGATTCCATTAGATTCCATTTGATGATGATTCCATTGAATGCCATTCGACGATTGAAAGTAATCTTCGAATAGACTTGAATGGAATCATTGAATGTACTCGAATGGAATCATCATTGAATGGAATGCATCGAATTCCATTTGAATGGAATCAAATTTAATCATCGAATGGAATCAAATGGAATCATCATCAAAGGGAATCGAATAGAATCGGCATCGAATAGAATCGAATGGAATCATCATCAATGGAATTGAATGGAATTTTCTTCAAATGGAATCGAATGGAAACATCATCGAATAGGATTGAATGGGATCGTCAAATGAAACTGAATGGAATCATCATCAAAACGAATCAAAATAAAACAAACAATGGAATCCAACGGAATCATCAAATGGAATCAAATGGAATTATCACTGAATGGACTCGAATGGAGTCATCATCGAATGGAATGTAAAGGAATCATTGAATGGACTCGAATGGAATCATTGAATGGACTCGAATGGAATCTTCAAATGGAATCTAATGTAATCATCATCGAATCAACATCAAACGGAATGGATCGAATCAACATCAAATGGAATCATTTGGAATCATCTATGATTGATGATTCCATTCCATTCCATTGCATACCATTCCTTTCGAGTCCATTGTATTCCATTCGAGTCCATTCCATTGCATTCCATTCCATTCGAGTCTATTTCGTTCTAATCCATTCGAGTCTATTCCATTGCATGTGAGTAAATTCCATTCCATTCCATTCTCTTCCGTTCCATTCCATTCCATTCCATTCGTGTCCATTTCATTCCATTCGAATCCATTCCACTCCATTCCATTGCACTCATGTTGATTCCATTCTATTCCATTCCATTCGAGTCCATTCCATTTCATTCGAGTCCATTCCGATGGAATTCGAATTTTGATTAGAATGGATCATTCACCATGATGACTCCATCCCATTCCATTCATTGGTGATTCCATTCAATTCCATTCATTGATTCCATTCCATTCCATTTGACAATGATTACATTCGATTCCATTCAATGATGATTCTATTCTTCCCCATTAGATGTTTCCACACGATTCCATTCAATGATGATTATATTCAAGTCCATTCGATGATTCTATTTGATTCCATTAGATGATAACTCCATCCCATTCCATTCATTGGTGATTCCATTCAATTCCATTCATTGATTCCATTCCATTTCATTCGACAATGATTCCATTCGATGATGATTCTATTCTTCCCCATTAGATGATTCCACATGATTGTAGTTGATGATGATTCTATTCTTCCCCATTAGATGATTCCACATGATTGTAGTTGAAGATGATTCTATTCGAGTCCATTCGATAATTCCATTCGATTCCATTCGATGTTGACTCCATTCCATTCCATTCATTGGTGATTCCATTCAATTCCATTCATTGATTCCATTACATTCCTTTCGGATTCCATTCGAATCATAGAATGGAAACCAATGCAGTCATCATCGAATGGACTCGAATGCAAACATTATCGAATGTCATCAAATGGAAACATCATCGAATGGAATCTAATGGGATAATGATATGGACTCGAATGGAAACATCAAATGGAGTCAAATGGAATCATCATCAAATATAATCTAATGGAATCATCGAATAGCATCAAATGGAATCATCGTCGAAGGCAGTCGAATGGAATCATCGAATGGAATGGAATGGAATAATCATGCAATGTAATCGAATGGAAACTTCGAATGGACAAGAATGGAATCATCATCAAATGCAATCAAATGGAATCATCATCGAATGGAATCGAATGAAATCATCATCAAATGGAATCAAATAGAATCATCCAATGGAATAGAATTGATGTATCATCAAATGACATCATACAGAATCATTGAATGAAATTGAATTTAATCATCATCGAGTGGAATCGATTGGAATCATGAACGAATGGAATCAAATGGAATCACAGAATGGAATCCAAATTAATCATTATCAAATTGAATCCAATGGAATCATTAAATGGACTCGAATGGAATCATTGAATGGATTCAAAAGCAATCATCATCGAATGGAATAGAATGGAATCATCAAATGCAATCGAATGAAATCATCATCGAATTTTATCAAATGGATTCATCGAATGGACACGAATGGAATCATCATCGAATGGAATCGAAAGGAATCATCTAATGGACGTGAATGGAATCATCATTGACTGGAATTGATTGGAGTCATCATCGAATGGAATCGAACAGGATAATCATTCAATGGGATCGAATGGCATCATCTATTGGGATAGAATGAAATGATCATCGAATGAAATCGAATAGAATTATAGAAAGAAATCGAATTGAATCATCATCGAATGTAATCGAATGGAATCATCAAATGGACTCGAATGGAATCATTGAATGGACTCGAATGGAATCATCGTTGAATGGAATCGAGTGGAATCCTCGAATGGAATCAAATGGAATCATCAAATGGAATCGAACAGATTTATAAGAACCTTACTTGAACCAAAATATAGAAAAACAAACAAACCAAAACCCCTAAAACTGTGATGAGCAAAGTAGACATCAGAACAGGAAATATCACTGGGGATGAAGAATAACATTTCAAAATGACAAAGGGAAAAATACACCAAGAAGTCATGTAAATAAGAAATATGTATGCACACAATAGCATTACTTCAAAATACATAATAGAAAACCTATTAAAACTGAAAGGTAAAATAGTAAAACCACAGTCATTCATGGGGATTTCAACAGTCTCCTGCCAGAAATTTTTAAATTTTGTTAAACGAAATGTTGGGAAGGGGAGAGAGCATCTTAAAAATATAATTAGGCAACTTTATCTAATTGAATCTTTTAGAATAATCTAAGGATGAGGAATGAGGTAGCAGAGAGAGAAAAGGCAGACATCAACGTGATATTAGTGTTTCAAGGCTATGAGAATACACCAATAATGGTGTGTGTGTGTGTGCAGATGGTAAGCTCAATCTTAAAAATGTTGAGTTTTAACTGACAATTCATTATTAAGAAAGATAAGAGGAAATTATATCTAGTGAGAGGCTATATGACTGAACTCTAAGAGAAAGGTCACAGCAGAAATTGTGTACTTGACAGCTCTATAAGGAGGTCAGTCAAAAATAAGTCAGTGATGAATACTCTGGTGTAAAAGCAGAGGAATGAGGATTAGATTTAAAACACATGGAAGCAGAGTGACTTATGATAAAAACATGAGCTTGAAAATCCTGCAGAGAGGGCTTTAAATCCTGGGTATGATATTCTGCTTGTGTAGGCAATAGTGATAAAAACACAACAACAAAGAGAGGTGAAGAGCACTTTCCTTTGATATAAGTAAAGGGCACGTCTTATTGCACATATATATATATATATATATATATATATATATATGTATTGAACTGAGATTCAACATGTTTCTCTCATTGAAACAGCAAGCTCTCCAGGCCTTGATGTTCCCAGTGAGGTAGGTAACCTTCTGATGATTATACTCACCCTCCCTCATTGCAAAGCTCCCATTGTTATTGTCTTGGCTCTGGATTCCCTCAAAAATAGACTATGAAACAAATATCTGGGGTCAGATACTTTAATCAGAAATTGAGTGAGAAAGCACAGAAGTGGAGAAAATGAAACAGAACACGAAGCCAGTGTGAATGAGTAGTTACTGCTATGTGCTCAGTAATGATGGAGGTATGGAGATTGTGTCAAAATAACTTTACAAAGAGATGGGGATGCTGGAATCCCCATCTCTTATTGCTTAAGGATTGCCTTAAAATCATTAACTCTCCACCCCTAACGCATTCTTTGTTCCTATGTGTGGTTGAGAAGCACTGGTTAGCCTCAAGAAGCTTACAGGCAGGCCCAAAAATCAGAAAGACAGGCATGATGTGGGGAGCTCTCAGTTAGCTGGAAACAGGTGAATTTCAGGTGAACACATTGAGTCCAGGACATAGAAGACAAGTCATCAGCAATATCTGCTATAGCCAGTTTTCTTTTTCTAAGAATATATATACATTTTATTGGGGGTCCCCAAGTCCCCCTTTGGTTTAATGATTCACATAACCCAAGAAAGCTGATTTTTTTGTGTGGTTATAGTTTCTAACAGTGAAAGAAACCAGATTAAAATAATCAGAAGCATAAAAGCACATAAAGTTGAGTCCAGGACAAACCAGATGTGAGCTTACAGGTGTCCTTTCATAGTGGGGACTTCACACTGACTAGTTTTCTTTACAATGGTGTGAGACAACATGTGTGAACTTGTTGCCAACTAGGGAAGCTCAGTCAGCCTTGAGTCCAGGGTTTTTATTAGGATTCCACCACATATGCATCGAATGTCCTGTGACTGAACTTAGCTACTTAGTTCCCAACCTCCATATGCCCTAAGAGAGTACATATTAATATAGCATTACACAAAGTCATAGGCATACAGAAACAGGTGCTCACAAGAAATCACGTTGTTAGCATCAGCTATTTGATATGACCTACGTTTTCAGGTATACAAAGACTCTCATCAGGCAACGTATACCAAGGGCTCATAGGTTATCATCTCCCAGGAGCTTGTCAAGGGCCAGTCCTGAAGACCTTTGGAATGCGCAAGGTTTTGGAAAGCCATGTCTGCAGAATTAACCCTTCATTACACAACCTCCAAGAATTTTTTTAATCTTTAAAAATGTTCTTTGATCTTTGACAAAGTACCAACCAATACTGAATAATTAGTAACAACAGTGTACTCCTGAGTACTTGTACCTGCAAGGAGAAAGGGGACAGATGCACTTACATAGGACAGATGCAAATAGACACCACTATGACAAGTAAAGCTGGAAAAATCAATAAATTCCTAAAGACAAAGTGGGGCTGGTGAGATTGGGAGACCGCTGACAGCTGCAGAAGTTGGGAAAGATCCATCATCTTGAAAATTTTTTCCCCACAAACCCACTGCTATCTCTCAAGCAATTGGTAAGGAATCGAAGAGAGTCTGTATATGACACAGATCAGGGAGAGCAGAACACTTGGGAGGTGACCAGGTCTTGGGGGCCGAGCCCTTATGAATGGGATTAGTGTCTTTATAAAAGAAGCTCAATGGAGTTCTTGTGTGCCTTCCACTATGTGAAGACATAGAAAGAAGGCACCATCTATGAAACATGAAATGGGCTCTCATCAACACTGAATTGGGGAGCGTCTTGACCTGAGATCTTACAGCCTCAAGAAGTGTGAAAAAAGAAATATCTATTGCTTTTTAGTCACTCAGTTTATGTTATTTTGTTATAAGAGTCCAAATAGACCAAGATATTCCACTTAATATGTAGGGGAAGGCAACAAAAACTGCCACACTTAGAATACTCCTGATGCTGGAGGTATGAAAACAGGAAAAACAAAACAAAACTGCTCTTGAAGGTGAAGGAGGAATATCACTGAGCTCACCAACACAGCCAGGAAAAGAACAGAAGTGTGGGAAGGCTACATTCCTGAGACCCTGAGAAAAGGTACCTGCATAAGACTGAGATGAAATTACGTACTCTAGTTATGATTGAAATCCCAAAAAGAAAAGAGGGAAAAATAATGGAGCAAAAGAAGTATTTTTCAAAATAACTGCCAAAAATATTCTAAAAAGAAGTGACAGAAAATCAAACTTCAAATATAGGAAACTCAGAGAATGTCAAATAGAACAAAAAGAAACAAGAATTACATCTTGAAAAATCTTTAAAAAATCAAGTCAAAATTTTATATCTTGCTCCAAATATATAGAGATATAAATAGGTTATCATCAAGATATGGAGAAAGCCATATCATGGAAACACTAAAATAAGGCTGTGGAAGGACTACATTGTTATTAGACACAACAGAGTTCGGAACAAGAAATGGTATCAGAGATGAGAGATAATAGATAATAGAATAATCAATTCTCAAGAAGATGTGAACATCCTACTAATTAGGGTATGCAGCTAACAACAGAACCTCCAAATACATGAGGTAAAACAGGAAAGAAATAAAAGGTGAAATAGAAAGATCCAAAATTATATTTTGATCTGATTTGTTAGTATTTTTTAAGGAATTTTGCATTTATACTTATAGTAGTTTTATTTTTCTATTCTATTTGGACTAATCTTTGTATCAAGGTAACACTGGCCCCACAGAATAAATTGGGAAGTGAATATTTCCCTTTTTTAAAAAAGCTGGTCAAGAATTAATATCAATTATTCAACACTAACAAATACTATTATTATAAATTATTAATTTCTCTAATTTTTATTTTCTTCCTTCTGCTTGCTTTAGGTTTAGTTTGCTATTCTTTCCAGTGCCTTAATGTGTAAGGTCATCTTATCTCATCCTTTCATTTGTCTTTTCATTTTCTAAATAGTGTCTTTTTAGCATCAGGTGAGCTCCCCAGGTTGGTAGTACTCCATGTTTATTGCTGTACAACAATGACAGGTAATATGTCCTGAAGACAAGGGAAACTTACCATTCAAAATCTCCTAGATTCCACCTTTTATGATATGTCTCTTCAATTGGTCCTAATTTCTACCCTTTCTCTATTATAAACCATGAGTACAATGGCATTCAATGAGTTCTGTGAGTCTTTCCAGTCAATTCTTGAAACTGAGGGTGTTCAGGGGAAACCCCTGAACTGGCAGTTGGTTTCAGAAGTGAGAAGCCTCTTATATGGCCTCTTCCTTTGAACTGTGCAGCTGGACGCAAACTCTGCACAATTTGGGCCAGAAGTCTCGCGTTGACATTGCGGCCTAAAGTATCTTGTAGTTTGTCTAACCCTCAATAAATTTGCTTTCATCAAATATTGTATTTGTTACCCCAAAATTACCATCACGTTTCTTTTTTCTCCAAATAACTAACATTGGGAGAAATAGCCAGCTAAGTCTGTAACTCAACAGAAACAAGTGATCCATGTACCATATACCATATAAGTGGCCATTTCATTTTGCCTCCTTCCACCAAATCTTAGCAACCTCAACCATTGCCATGAGCCACTGTAGGCCTACCAGCTACAAACAAACAAGTATCTTTTAAAAACACTTCATATTCCCATTTGATAAATTTCCCAGCAAAGAGATGCCTACTTTAAATCTATGCAAGTGGCTCATATTCACGAATTCTGTAGATATTATTCATGTAGTGTGAGAAAATCATCCCAGCGATGCCAGCACATTCTCCTTCCCATGATCTGCTTAGTTTGCAAACATATTCATGCCATGGGTGACAGATTTGTATTTCACAGTAAAACAATTTTATGGAGGACATTGAAACTTACATTGAGCATTTTAGTACAGTCACACATCACTGAGTGATAGGGATACGTTCTAACAGATGTATCCATAGGCAATTTCATCATTTTGCAAACATCACAGAGAATATTACAAACACCTAGATTGTGCAGCCTACCACGTCTAGGTTATATGGTATAGCCTCTCTCTCCCAGGCTACAAACCCGTGTACTACCTTACTGTACTGAATACTGCAGGCAATAAGAACACAGTGGAAAGAGGTTATGTATCTAAACATACTTAAACGTAGAAAAGTATGTAAAAATATGTATTATAATCTCATGGGACCACTTTTGTATATGTAATCCATCTTTGACTGAAATGTTATTATGCATGACATGACTCTACGACAAAAATAAAATAACACATTGTAAAAAATGTACACAGGTATCAAACATATTAATATTGTAAAATTAAAAATATTTATTCAGTGTAAGACTTTGCAATGATCACAAAATGTTCACAGCTTTTATTTTAGTACAGTTTCAAATGCCTAGTGCAATTATTATTTATTTCTTTGTGTATTTTAAACAGGTATATAATAAATATTTTTCAATTTCCACAATATATATCAATCCAACTGGCTCTTATAAATATTAGTTAAAATGAATTGGTAAATTCATATATATATATATATATATATATATATATATATATATATACACACACGTGTATCAGTCTGTATGCATGTATGTGTGTGTAAATGTAACTGTATGTGTGTGTAAATGTAACTGGATGCATCCTAATATTTACCCTTACCTACAAGATTTCCAAGATTCATTTATTATCTTTAGATGATGTGCATTTAAAGATTTACCAAATAAAACTGTAATCGTAGAAAATATCAAGATGTTATTAAATTCATCTTGTGCACATAATTGTTTCTTTAAATTTATGTTTCTTGCAAAACTTGCGGTAATGCTCATGAACAAAATAATTTTCTAAATAAAAAATAAAAACACATTTTCAGTCATTAATTCTTAATAATTATTTCTCCCAAATACTTAATGTGAATTAATTCTTAATTCTTAATTATAGAAAAATATTGCCCTTCAGAGTTCTGAATCTTTTGCATGTTGTATACATTTCACTAACTAGAACAACTTCTGGAATATTGGCATTAATTAATGTCACTCAGCAATTAATGATTTCAAGGAAATTAAATACCATTCATATTCTGAATCACAAGGGTACTTTGGCATCTAATTTAATCAAGCTCTTTGTATCATCATCTACACGTTAATTACTTAACAAACATTTCTCTGTGTGAGAAAGATTGAGCAGGTTATTGTGCTTTATTAAGATGCAACTTTTGCTTAATCTAGAGATAGGCAATGCTCTCTATAAGGGACAAAGAGAAAAATGAAAGAGCAATAGAGATGTGACAGGCATGGAAAAAGACAATACATTTATAAAACAAATGGGGCCACAGATGTTGATAATGGGGATCAAATCTTGAGATACTGACTCAGGTTATAACCACACTGTACAATAGAGCAAATCATTTCTTAATTTTTTTACAAATGAAATTTAATTTAATTAAGATGAATACAGTGTTTTAAACAAGACAGGTCATCTTAAAATAAAATAGTGGAATAAAGTGATAAAACCAATGTAAAAATCATAAACATTTTATAAAGAATTTTTGTCATGCAATTTAATATTTTTCGTTATTTAAAATCACCCAAATCAAAATAATTTTATCTTAATTAACAAATAATCATCAGAAGTTAACTAATTTTTACTTATATTACTAGGTTTAAAAATTCTTCACTATATTTTTAATCATATATGCTTATACATAAAACAGACATAGGGTATATGTTTACATGTTCACAATATTATATTGTAATTTTTCCTATGGATGTGGTTTTTCAATAGAATTAATAAGCACTTTTAAAAAGTTTCAATTTCAATGATATATATGTTTGATTTTTCTTTGACAAAGCATACATATATTGATAGGTAATAATAATAAAATATTCTAAAGACATTACAGGAACATGAATAAGTAATTAAATCGTCAATAATTTGTAACGTTTTATGTAAGCGAAATCCATTTAACTGAAAATTGCTTTTATATAATACTCAAACGAGACTAAAAACATATTAACTAGCGGAATAAGTCTTCAAATTGATAATCTGAACTATACAAGAGGAGAAACTTCAAGCACTCAAATATTTGAAATGCTACAAAATATTTATATAAACTATTATTTAACAATTTCTGTTTGTAGAGTGCTATACAGTAATCAATATAAATGACATCTCAGTCTTTCTATAGCTTTGAACTCATTTACCTCCTAATTTTAATTATTAATATGTTGGAGCAGTGCATACAACTAGATTCCGATCTTCCTTTTTAATGAGTAAAAATATGTCCTTTGAGACAGCCTTAAAGAAAGAGTACCTTGTATAAATTCAATGCCAAGAGACAAGATAATCTTCATTCTGAAGCCTTGTTCTTTTATACAGCAATGTAATTAATAAGAAGAAGAAAAGCAGGACATAGATATGGAGTCTATTTTCAACAAAAATTGTCTATAGATTTTGATGATAAAATTTAAAACTCTACTATATTTAGTTAGTCACAAAAAACTAGGTTGTGGGAACATATTTGGTCAATAAAACACCCCTACCAAATGCTGACAAGAAAAAAAGTTAGGTACCACCTTTCTTCTCTGCAGATGGCCTGAGATGGGTTAATTTGAAAGAATGCTTCCAAACCTGAGGTGACCCCTGAGAACAGCATAATCCACTGCTTTCTCCCACATTCAGTTTCTCAGTCTGTGCTCTTTTAATTTTCGGGGGAGGGAAGCCAGTCCTTTAAAGCGATCTTCAGCATGATGGCAGAGCCAAGGAGTGTGGACAGCTGGCATGGTGTCTGACTTTGTTCCAGCAGCCACTTGGGCTTTCTCTGGGTCTTCTCTGCCCTAGGGATAGCACTACTATTGAAAACATGTCTTTGTGACATTCTCTATGCCAGGAACTCCCAACATATTTTCCTTGAAACTGATGAAATGAATAAAAATAAACCAAGAGGTGTGCTGTTTGTTTCTGTTTCCTCCTTTCTGCAGCCCTTCTTGATCATCTAATATTTTTAAATACATTGTCGATCACCAAAAGGAGCATAAGGGCTTTATTGGTTTGTAGCAGATGTATTAATAGCCCAGCCCCTATTCCTTACTTGTAGCTACTGGGAAGAAAACCATACTTAACACTCTACAAGGTCTCATCTCCAGAATTTGCACCAGTTTCTAGCTGAGGACTTTCTCTAGCAGCACGGGAGCTTGTTACTGGGCATCAAGTGGGAAGAAAAGGTGAGGGTAACTAAGAAGAATCTCCCTGGATTCAGTGATGTAATTCTTAGGCATGCTCCACATAGCTTCCCATAAAATTAAGTCCAGATATCTAATACAGGAACTTACCTCTTAACACGTGTGGTATTGGCTTTTCTATCTTTCCTGTTTTATTTTGTTCTCTTTTCCTTGTCTTACTTTCGCTGTGTCCTCACAACTGCTTTAAGAATACCCAAACAAATACGTTCATTTATTTTTTTAGACTCTCAGAACACAGTTGATAGTTGAACTTCCAATCTATGATAATCAACTTGGATGCTATACTGACAGGAAGATGGTGAACTCACAATGTCTAATTAAGATACAATTTAAAAAATATATTGAATCATGTCCAAAGATTTAAAAAACCTAAGCGGCAGTGTCACAATTTCTTCTTTTTAGTTTACATGGTTTCTTAAATGCCTACAATTATTTTAAAGGAAGACTTGAGTCTAGGAAAAATTGAGACATATGGAATAAATTACTAACCCATTTCTCCTTGAAATCCATTAGATGTTTGATGATTTTTCACAGATATTTCTCAATTGAACAGCTAGTTGGGAATTAGTTTTATAAGCATATCCTTATGTAATATTTTGTTTCTAACAGTGAATTGAAGGTTTAAAGATTATTCTATCCAGAGAATAAAAGCAATTATTTCACAAGGAGAACATGTGTATGTTGACACGACATTTTAAAATCTAGATTTTAAAATAGGTCCCGCATAATTTTGAGTCAATTAGAATATGTTTGTATCAGTCTGTCTACAGTTTTACACCTGTCAAAAGGTATTTGAACTAAAAGAAGTACCTTGAACAATTTTGAAATTTATTGTTCCTCTGAAACTGATTAAAAGAATTACGGTAGAGTGAAATTCTGGTTGGCATAATTTGGGAGAGAAATTATTCCTTGGGGATCAACCTCTGCCAAGATAGTTTATAATGACATTGAGGCTTTTTGATTTACACAATGTATTATATAAAAAATACTAAGACGAGGACAGATATTACACAGACTTTAATTAAAATTGTACTAAAATTAAAGGTCTAAATAAATTACAAGGGGACGTGGTACATCTAAATGTATGTTTATATATTTTATTTGTGCATTTTATTCCTAGGGTTGCTTTTCCTTTAGTATGTAAAACGTTCTTATTTGTATGACAATGTAGTCTATACTAAATAAAGAAAAATCAGGAAATAGAAAATGAAGAAGAAAACATTAGCTATTGTCAACCAAATAAAAACTGTGCAGTCTCTAAGTACATGAACGAAGTATTATTTGTACAGCATGTACAATGTTTATGCTTCACAGGGTGAGGTAGAGACTGCAAAACATTGAACCTGGGACAAATAAGAAAGTAAGGAAATTTTCACAATATATTAATATTATAGAAAATGTTGAACTTAACAGTTAAGATACAAGTAGTGAAAAATGATAGTATTTAAGGAGATCTAGAAAATTTAATCTATAACAGTAATGTGTGAGAAGTATTAGAATAATGCTTGTATTTCTGGATTGGCATCGATTTCTATTGAGACTGGAAACATAATAGAAGTGAGCAAAAAAGAATTTAAATCGTGGATACTTGAGTTTTATACCTAGGAGTTCGAGAAATACATTTTGTTACCATCAAAGCAGTTGGCACAAGAGTGTACAAAATTCCCTAATTGTGTCTATGTGGTGAAGACATAGACAAACAGAGAATAGCAAAACAGAAAGAGCAAAAAAGCACAAATAAATTTTACCTGTATTTTTACATAAAAGCCAATTAGGGTAGGAAAACATGAAATTTGTGTTTTATCAAAATTTTTCTCTTTCTTATAGTATAGTTGATTATATCACTGGAAAAAAATTGAAGCATTGGTATGTTCACAAAATAAAGTAAAATATAAGGCCAAAACCATGGGAATGCAGGGAGCAGACAAAATACACCTGAACACTGAAACTGATTTTGCCCTACGGACATGTAGCAAAATGAATGAGTGCAGATTCCTACTGTCATACATCACATAGGACAGTAAAGAAATACATAGTGTTTCCCAAGATAGGGCATCACACAGGAGCTCTTCCCTAAAGCTAGCACCAAAATTTATATCCTCAGTATAAAGAAGAATCAGAGGTAAATTAGTCCCATTTCACATTCCCTGGAAATGGCAAATAAAAACGACTTGAGATTGGACAGATTTAAAGAAACTCAATCATTAATGATTTACAGCAATTAATTTAAAAATTGTTTAAATGTGCTGTCCAAACATACGTCCAAACACCTTTAGGTCAAGAATTAATATAATGTGGTCCCAGAATGCTGGTGCCTTTAGTAGACTCACAAAAAAATCAAATTCTCTTTGGCAAATTTTCTTCTTACTAATATGCAAAAGTGCACAATAATAATTTTCAGAGAAAAATAAATCTTTGTCATTCAAAGGCATCAAAGTATGCAAGGAAATGATATTCCACCATTTGAAAGGAAAGCAGAAAAAGAGTACAAACAGATCCACAAAGGTTCATTAGTAGAAATATCACTGTTAGATTATAAAGCACATTTGCTTTCAAAAAATTTTTAAAAAAATGAATATATTTTTAGGAGACTAAAAAATTGATGTAGCAAATTTGAAAAGTAGTTTGTATATAGTATTTTAAATTAAAAACTCAAAACTGAACTCATCAGATTACACATGGCCATGGTGAGAGTTCCTAAATATTTCAGAATGCATTACAGAAAATTTTAAAAAATGCACAATGTGGACAGAATCATGCAGAGACATGGAAGATACAGTGAGAAAGTGTAGCATGTGATTATGAGTGTTCTCATAGAAGACGGGAACTGGGAAGGGACAATATGAGATGGTATTTTGGCTGAAATTTCTCAAGACTTTTGTAAGACACTAATCCGCATATTCAAAACTTCTATACATGTTAAGCAAGCTACAATGGAGAGAAACCTACATCTACATATCTCCTAAAGAAATAGTAAACAATCAGGAAGGGAAAAATTTTTTCAATTAGCACTAGGAAAATCAAATTACCTTTAATCATATTGAAATCTGAAAGCATGAAAGGTAAAATAAACAATATTATTTGTTAAGAATAATAATGCCATTCTGAAATTCTCAACCAAGAAATATATTCATCAACCTATGGCTAAATAACATATTTAGAGACAAAAAACAAAATGCCACCAGCAGAATTCCACTAAAGAAACTAAAAAGAAACTATGAAAACATGCTTCAGAAAGATTGAAGTTCTGAAGTCAAACAATGAACACAGAGCAAAATATATTGTAAACATACAGATAGCTCTAAATAAAAAATTAGGTGTTGAAACAAAAGGATATTTAAAATTAGATAAGCACTGCAATATGTATATTAGGAAGCAAATTATTAGGGCTGAAGTATTCAAAGACCCCTTAATTGTCTGACAAGAGCAGAAAGGTATGATTTTGCAACACTTTTTTTTTTCTTTTTTCTGAGAAGGAGTCTCACTCACTCTTTCTCCCAGGCTGGAGTGCGGTGGCGCCATCTCCGCTCACTGCAACTTCTGCCTCCCAGGTTCAAGCAATTCTCCTGCCTCAGCCTCCTGAGTAGCTGGGATTACAGCCGTGTGCCACCATGCCTGGCTAATTTTTGTATTTTTAGTAGAGACGGGGTTTCAACAGGTTGGTCAGGCTAGTCTCCAACTCCTGACCTCGTGATCCACACGCCTCGGCATCCCGAAGTGTTGAGATTAAAGGCGTGAGCCACTGCGCGCGACCGACTTTGGAACTTTAATAAATTGACTGGACATTATGCATTTCTCTGTTGTATCTATGAAAACAATAAAAATAAAAGTCATAATTTTAAAACAAGAAGACAGAAAGTGATAGGAGAAAATGAGACATTTTATATATATATATACACAACAAATTAATATACAAAATTACGTATAAATGATCAAAGATTAACTTAAACCTAAGTAGACAATGTTTTTGTTAAAATACAAAGATTGGCAAAATTTAAAACATCCGTCTCTATCATAGTTACAAGAGAGGCAACTAATATATGAATTTACAGAAACTTTGAAGTTCAAACAATACAGATAATGTGTATATATGATACACATACAAACATACTACATGAATATAATTTTTTAAAAAGTTGCTATGTAGACAAAATAGAATGTAAGTTAGAAACATTTATTAAAATAAGTTAGTCTAACCAGTGTGATAAAAGTTTTAAGTTATTAGGAAGATGTGATGACTTAAATGTGCATTATCCTGATACATATATATATATACACAAACCACACACTCTCTCTCACACACACAGACACACACGTATTTAGAGAGAGAGTCAAATTATATAAAGCAAAAATATCAGAAAGTAGAAATGGATAAGCCCCCAAAATATTATAGACATTTCAAACACACGTCTTTCAGTAATAGATAAAAGAAAAAATTAAAAGAGTAAGTTTTAAAAGAAGCTAGTGGATTTTAAAAAGGGCAAATATTATATAAGGAGCATGAATATTATAATTCATGTTATTTCCATGTTCATACAGAATACTTACAAAAATTAACATTTTCTAGACCATAACACACATTCAAACAATTTTCACGGAAATAACGTGACACAGAATATATTTCCTAAACAAACAGCAATGAAGGCAGATATCAATACAAAAACGAAAGCTAGAAACATAAGTCTAATAATTTTGGTTGGAAGCTATTTTAATGAATATTGAAATATTTTAAAGGTGAATAGTCAATACAAATAAACCAAACACTTTTGTAAGGCCACTAAGATGCATGTGTAATGTGTAATGCCTCCTTTTATAAGGAGTAAATCTGTAACATCACCTGCGCTATTTGACAACTGCAAAGTGAATTTGAGAAGGAGAGAAACAGTGAGAGAGAGAGAGATAAAACCAGTAAAATAAACATAAACAATGAAGGAGGTAGCCAGGCGCCATTGTTCACGCCTGTAATCCCAGCATTTTGGGAGGCCCAGGCAGGTGGATCACCTGAGGTCAGGAGTTCGAGACCAGCCTGGTCTAACATGGTGAAACCCACTCTCTACTAAATATACAAAAATTAGCCTGGCATGGTGGCATGCATCTGTAATCCCAGCTACTCGGGAGGCTGAGGTGGGAGAATTTCTTGAATGTGAGGGGTGGAAGTTGCAGTGAGTAGAGATCACGCGACTGCACTCCAGCTTGGGCGACAGAGCAAGACTCCGTGTCAAAAAAATAAAAAATTAAAAAAAACAAAAACGAGGAAATAGTACACGAAAAAGCAGAATTAAAGCAACTGGGTATATATTTAATAATGCAAAAGCTCACGTTTTCAGAAAAATATTAAAATATTAAATCTAACAAATATCTAGTTAGACTGATGGAGAAAAATACAGAAAATGCACAAAAAACCAATTACCTGGAATGTGAACGTTACAAAACGTCAGCAGTTGTAGATTTTATATAACCAATGATTTTTGAGTTCAATCATGATGGGGTATATTGAAAAGAATCTCTCAGAAAAAAAGAAAAAGAAAACTGTTATAAAGCTATGTACAAAATGTTAAGCACTATTAAAGTCTTCCAAATCTACCAGTTATGGAATTATTGGTCTTGGACTAACTCTCCTGAAAAGAAAAAAACAAAACAAAACAAAACCTAAAAACCTGGATAAAATGGCCTACCGTGGGCACTGGCAATGCATCCAAGCAGGTAGGACCTGGGTGCTACATTCTCTTTGTCAGAACACAAAGCATTCATACACTCTTCTCACCCTCACTTTCACCTTTTAATCTTAGGTCTACTATTAAATGTATTCAACATTACTATCAATCCATTGGTCAAAATTTCTTCACTCACATTTTGCTTGATGCACTTGGATAGACTGTTCAAGAAAGTGCGAGTAGTGAATTCCTCAAACTCTTGCATATTCAAAATCACATTTTTGAACCTTGATGCTTGAAGTGTAGCTTGGGTAACAGATAGGCTTTAAGCCAATTTTGGCATGCAAGGGGTTGAGTTAATTAGGCATCAGCACCGCTGAAAATCGTGGGGATGCAGGCTTAATTTCAACACTATTCTAAATACTTGAAAGATATTATATAATTCTTTAATAAACTCCTGTGTCTACAAATGGTTCACATTAACTCAATATCCATGATTAAACATCTATAAAATCAAGGCACTGTTATTTAGTGGAGACTTGCTGGCTATTCTATGAGAGGAGGTATTGTTATTGTAATCTCATCCTCTCATAAAAATGTATCATATTACTCATAACCAGCCCTTCATATTCTATTCCTATTTTGGTATTTTAAAATAAGATATCTTTGAAACATTTGAATTCAAAGAGGGAATCTGAATAATTTTTAAAATGTCAATGAAATGCCATATCTTCCTGCTTCAACATCTATAAATTGACTAAGGTGCTTCTCTTCAAACTTTCTGGAACATTTTTTATCTAAATTCTAAGAACAATCACAATAGGTTTTAACCACAAATGTGAGAATATTCTAAATGTTAGGGTGGAAAAATTTTTTAAATAATTTATAGTAACTTTTTTCATCATAGTGACAGTGTGCTAAATTTTTTTAAGACAACTATTACTGTAGACATTTAAGTCAGGATTCTAAGAAGCTGTTCTAAAGTCCAAAATTTAGTTTCATATACACTGATACTATATATATATATTTGCATAGAAAATTAATACATGTGAGCCGTGTTTAAAATAGTTGAGAGATTATTATATCAAAGATTCTTGATTATATAAAATGCCAATTACTAGTAGGCAGACATGCTTTAAATAATTACATAGGCAGTTGTGGTTGATTCTACTCTTGCTACTGGCATTTATATGGACATACTATTATGGTCTGAAGAATATTTAGGCAAATTTATCCCTCATATGATCAGAAGAACAATGCAAGATAGTTTATATCTGAAAGGAAAAAAAACTTTATATGGTTCTGAAAGCGTAAATCATTAACAACTTGGATAATAATTAGCATAAAAATACACAAACATGCCTTCTTCCTAGCAGTAAGTACACAGTGACAACAGAATCAAAGCATGTGGCTATGTGCATGTTTATATTTCAAGACGCAGAGCACTCTATTCATCCTCTCTGCCCTTTCTAGATGGCATAATTCCTCATGAATCTAAGTGCAGTCATAGGGTGGATTAGGGTGACCTGCCATTTGTATGCAACTGATCTCTATTTTGGAAGTAATTAATGTCAAAATATATTTTTAAAGGATAATTTCAAATTTCAGGGCAAACTAGCATGGTTTCACCCCTTTTCTTTGGAACATTTTTTTCTAAGGTTGGAAAAGTAAGGTAGGCTTTAGTACGATTTTAAATAATAAGGTTTCAAAGTGAGACGCAAAATGCTGGCGCCAACACATTTCACATCTGCTACATTTTGAAGACACTTATTGGAGAAAAGACCTTCTCATCATTTTTCTCTCACAGGAAAGGAAATAACACGTACAGTTGACCCTTAAGCAACACGGAGGTTGGGGTGCTGGCCCCCCTGCACAGTAGAAAATCCACTATAACTTTGACTCCCCCAAAACTTAAGTACTAATAGCCTACTGTAAGCCTTACAAATAACACAATTAACACATATTTAATATGGTATATGTCTTATATACTGTATTCTTTAAAAACATGCCAGAGAAAAGAAAAAAGAAAATCATAAGGAAAATATATTTACTAGTTATTAAATGGAAGTAGATGATCAAACAGGTCTTCATCCTCATCATTTTCATGGGCAGGGTGTGGAAAACGATGTAGAATTCTTGGTTTTGCTAAGTGGACATGCACAGTTCAAACCCCTGTGGTGCAAAGTCCAACTGTATAGCCATTGAATAGCAATTTATTTTGAGAAATTTACCTCAGTAAAATACTCTTAGAAGGATGCCAAGAAAAAAATGAATAAGTATTTTTGGTTCATCTATTTCATCATTTTATTTCATTATTTCATTTCCTTATTTCATCATTTCATTTCATCCTTCCATTTCATCATTTCATCATTTCATCTCATTTCCTCATTTCATCATTTCATTTCATCTTTTCATTTCATCATTTCATCATTTCATCTCATAATTTCATCTCATCATTTTATCATTTTATTTCATTCTTTCATTTCATTTCATCATTTCATCTCAACATTTCATTTCATCATTTCACTTCATCTCATCATTTCATCATTTCATGTCATGATTTCATTTCATCTCATCATTTTATTTCATTTCATTCTTTCATTTCATTTCATCATTTCATCTCAACATTTCATTTCATTTTATCATTTCACTTCATCTCATCATTTAATCTCATCACTTCATTTCATCTCATCATTTCATCTTTTCATCTCATCATTTCATTTCATCATTTCATCTTTTCATCTCATTTCATTTCATCAATTCATCATTTCATCTCAACATTTCATCTCATTTCATTTCAGTACATTTCATTGTTTCATTTCTTTTCATCATTTCATCTCATTTCATTTCATCATTTCATTTCATTTATTTCATCATTTCATCATTTGACTTCATGTCATCATTTCATCATTTCATATCATTTCATCACTTCATCTTTTCATTCCATCATTTCATCATTTCACTTCACCATTTCATTTAATTTCATTTCCTCATTTCATCATTTCATTTCATCCTTTCATCATTTCATTATTTCATTTCATCATTTCTTCTCATTGTTCCATTTCGTCATTTCATCATTTCATCATTTCACTTCACCTCATTTCATCATCTCATGATTTCATTTCATTTCATCATTTCATCTCATTTCATCTTTTTGTCTCATCATTTCATCATTTCATTTCATCTTTTCATCTCCTCATTTCATTTAATCATTTCGTTTCATTTCACCTTTTCATCTCATTTCATCGTTTCATTTCATCAATTCATCATTTCATTTCATTATTTCATCATTTCATCATTCACTTCATTTCATCATTACATTTCATTTCATCATTTCATATCATTTCCTCAATTCATCATTTCATCTTTTCATTTCGTTTCATCATTTCATCATTTCATTTCATTTCACTTCATTATTTCATTTCATTATTTCATTTCATTTCATTTCACCGTTTCATGTCATCATGTCATCATTTCATTTCATCGTTTCATCATTTCATCTCACTGTTTCACTTCATTTCATCATTTCGTTTCATTCCATCATTTCATCATTTCATTTCATCATTTCATCATTTCATTTCATTTCAGTGATACATGAATTTAAGTGCTAATGCGATGCCCAGGAGACACCCTATTTCCCTTTGTAAAACACCTCCTTCAACAAAAGGCAACTTTTCATGGCTGGCTAAGTCTACAGGGATACCAGCCTCTCTCCAACCACCCAATTTCATGTAGAACCTCAAACAGCACCTCAGTATCATAAAAACCTAAAACATAAACACAACACTTGGTTGTAAGTGAGCCAACAGTTTCTTGTCTCTTTCTCTGCTCAAGGTTTAAGGCCGTGTCTCCGCAACTACATTCAGTGGAAGAAAAGATCCCATGGACAAATAAGTTTGAGAATTGTTGTTGCAGGAATTCTCAGAACCTTCAAAACACAAATCCTCATCCGCAGGGATCTTCAGGAGGGAGATGGCTGATGCAGCACAACTTTCTTTCACAGGAGTATCTTGCAGAATACAGTATGAGATACAGAAAGTTTGCATTAAATCTTTTTAATGGCCCAGGCCTTGGTGGGGGTGGGGAAGGAGCTCTCCAGATAGCATCTAATGAGTAGGAATATTCAGGTGGCTTTTTATTTTTCCTTATTGGCAAAACTGTATGTACACCATGAATGAAGCTGGTCTCCCTTATCCATGTCAAAACTAAACCCAAATTAATTGGCTAAATTGGGACTCAACACCTCCAGGAGCCACGCGGCAGAAAGCCCCAACACACTTTAAATTAGCTTACCTCATCATATTTGAGGAAAGCAAAACCCTTATGACGAGTATGCTGCTAATACAAGTCTACAGATAATGCTGTATGAAAAACTAGTTTTCCCAATCATAGCTGGCATAGTCCACATTTTGCATTACACTTTCTCCCCTTTTTTTAAATTTTTAACAGAGGTCTTTTTCTCTTCTTTTTTTAAATTTTAATTTAATTATACAAGACGGAGTCTCAGTATGTTGCCTAGGCTGGTATTCAACTCCTGAGCTCAAGCGATACAACCGTCTCCGCCGCCCAAAGTGCTGAGATTACAGGCCTGAGACACTGTGCCTGGCCTCAAACACAAATCTTCATTCATTCTTACAATTATTCCGAGGTTACAAAAATGGAAGGGGAAGAAAAATGGGAAGCAGGTAGGCTGACTTCGGCTTCATTATTTGGAAGGACAGTTTGCTCGGTTAAAACACACTACTGCCTACAAAGGCCAAGACAACAGAAAAATACAGACTTACATAAATAGATTTTATATGTGACAGCAGTTTGAATGGAGACTTTTTCAATGCAATGAGAAACAGCTGTGCTTGGGAATAAATGACAACGAATTTTTTTATCTCAACAGCTGTCCTGAGAGCATGTCTCTACATCTCTACCTGCATTCTGGAATCAGGGAGAAAGCCAAAACGGACGACAAGACACTAGATCAGCCGTGTCCAACCCTTTGACTACAAGGACTTTTCCACCTATCTGTGGTGTTGGGTATCATGAAAATTATGCACAAACCTTTTTTTTTTTAATCCCATCAGCTGTTGTTAGCATTAGTGTATTTTATGTGTGGCCCAGGAGCATTCTTCTTCCAATGTGGCCCTGAGAAGCCAAAAGACTGGACACCTGTGCACTAGATCAAAAGGCTACTCCTTCTGGAAGCAATTGTAAAGAATTTCTGACATTATCTTGACATGAAAACCAATGGATAGTGGGACAGAATGCAAAATCTTCAAGAATTTTTCTTGTCTTTTTTTTTTTGAGTCACAGTCTTGCTCTGTGGCCCAGGCTGGAGTACACTGGTGAGATCAGAGCTCAGTGCAGGATCAAGTGCTCCTCCCGCCTCAGCCACAGTAGTAGCTGGGACTACAGATGCACACAACCACCCCTGGCTAATATTTTATTTTTTGTAGAGATGGGGTCTCACTATATTGTCCAGGTTGGTCCCAAACCCCTTGACTCAAGGTATCCAGGAAAGGATAACAGGTGGGAACCACCACACCTGGCTATGTGCATGAACTTTTAAGACAAACACAAGGCCCCACAAAAGTTAAGGTTTTTCCCACCTAATTTCCAGGGGGATCTTTTGGTGCAAGGCTGAGAAGCCCTTAAAAGTACACAGACAACTCCAAAGATTCAAGACAGTTCATTTGGGCTGAGCCAGCCCACTGGGCAGACTGACCTTCAAATACGACCCACCCATGACATACACCAGATGGCTCTCCAAGAATCTCTTCAGTCCTCAGGGTCCCTAACGTACTGGACAGAGCTAGGAAAGCAAACCGATTTGCTTCTTCCTGCAGGAAACCGCTTGATGTTAAGACCCCACAATCAGACGAGGATGGAGTGGCTCACCCTCAGTCAACAGGCCAGACTGAAGGTGGTATAATGTCTTAACCAAGGGTGCGGGCCTCTAGTTCTGACTCCCAATTCAGTTCTTCTTTAACAACCACACTTTGTTAATTTTCCTTAACAGGGGTTCCTGGCAAGTCAGTTCTCCCTCAGGCCTTTGGTTTCCTCACCTACAAGATGAGAGGGCTGGACCAGATGGAAATTCAGGGGGTAAGGGGATGTCAGCGCGCAGCCCACGCCCACCTCCACCCCCACGGGACCCTGGAGCCTCCATCCCAGTTCCCACCACGCATCCGCTCCACAAATCCTGCCCAAGGTGAGGGCTGGTCCCGGGTCCTCTGGCTGCCGCATCAGCGAGTGCAGGAGTGAGGGGAAGCTTCCAAGGGGGTGACGTGGGCTCAAGGATGCAACTCGGCCAGGAGTAAACTGGGGCCCCGAAGGAGGTGTTCGAGCCGCTCCTGGAGCCCAGCCCGGGTCCCCGAACCCCTTACCTCCAGGGTCTGTATCTCCTGCTGGGTGAGGTCGTTGGACACAGCACACTTGGTGCATAGCCCGCAAAGGCTGCCAGTGAAGATGACGATGAGCTTCTGGAGCTGCCCGCACTGCTGCAGCGCTCGGGTGGCCCCAGCCCCTGCGCCACCCTCGGTGGCCGCCGCATCACCCCCGCCACCGCCCTCCTTCTCTCCCATGGCCTCTGCGCGCAACGCTGCTCTATGCAGGCCACAGGGGCCTAGGCAGGGAGCCCGGGGCGCCCGCGCCTAGGCAAGGAACCACTGAGCCAGGAGAGCTGGACCAGGAGCAGCCCTCGGCGCTGCCCTTGCCAGGATGCCAGTAGAGCTGGCAGCCGAGTCTGCTGCTCCCGCCCTCAGAGCCGCGGCGGCGGGGACAAAAATCCTCGGCGGCGGGGGCAAAAAGTCACGGTGGCAAAAAGTGGCGGCGACAGGGGCAAAAACTCGCGGCGGCAAAAAGCCATGGCGGCGGGGACAAAAAGCCGCTGCGGCGGGGGCAAAAAGTGGCGGTGACAGTGCCTAAAAGTCGCGGCTGCAAAAAGCCGCAGTGGCGGGGGCAAAAAGTCGCGGCGGGGAAAAAGTCGCGGCGGCGGGGCGGCAAAAAGCCGCGACAGCGGGGGGCAAAAAGCCCTGCCGGGGAAAAAGCCGCGGAAGCCGGGGGCAAAAAGCCCCGGCGGGTAAAAACCCACGGCGGCGGTGGGGCAAAAAGCAGCGGCGGCGGCCGGGGGAGCAGAAAGCCGCGGCGGCAAAAAGCCGCGGCGGGCAAAAAGCCCCGGCGGGTAAAAAGCCCCGGCGGGTAAAAAGCCGCGGCGGGCAAAAAGCCGCGATGGCAAAAAGCCACGGCAGCAGGGGTGCAAAAAGCTGTGGCGGCGGTGGGGCAAAAAGATGGGTCGGGAAAAAGCCGCGGCGGCGGCGGGGGGCAAAAAGCCGCAGCGGCGGAGGGCAAAAAGTCGCGGCGGTGGGGGACAAATAGCCGCGGCGGGCAAAAAGCCGAGGCAGGGTGGGGGCAAAAAGCCGCGGCGGCGGGTGGGGGCAGAAAGCCGCGGAGGGCAAAAAGCCGAGGCGGGGTGGGGGCAAAAACCGCGGCGGCGGTGGGGCAGAAAGCCGCGGCAGGCAAAAAGCCACGGCGCAGGGGTGGAAAAAACCCGGGGTGCTGAACAACTCGTGGCGGCGGGGGGACAAATAGCCAGGGCGGGCAAAAAGCTGCAGTGCCAGGGGGTCAAAAAGCCGCGGCGGCGGGGGTGCAAAAAGCCGCAGCGGACAAATAACCGCGGCATGGGTGGAGGCAAAAAGCCGCGGTGTGCAAAAACCCGCGGCGCCGTGGGCGGGGCAAAAAGCCGCGGCAACGGGGGGGCAAAAAGCTGCTGCGGCGGGGGCGCAAAAAGCCGCGGCGGAAAAAAAATGCCGTGGCAGCGGGGAGCAAAAAGCCGCCGCGGGTAAAAAGTCCCTGCGGCAGGGGTCAAAAAGCCGCGGTGGGGGATAAAAAGCGGCAGCAGGCAAAAAGCCGCGGCGGGGGTGGGCAAAAGCCACGGTGGGCAAAAACCCGCGGCGTCGAGGGGGCACAAAGCCTGGGTGGACAAAAAGGCAAGGCGGAGTGGGGGCAAAAAGCCGCGGCGGCTGGGGGGAGAAAGCCGCGGCGGCGGGAGAGCAAAAAGACTCGGCGGCGGAGGGCAAAATAATGGAGAGGGGGTAGTAGGCCAGCACTGCTTGGCATTGCTGGAGTGTGATGTGATAGGAAATGTGTAGCCAAAGACAAAAAAAGATGTAAGTAGGCTTGACTCATTGCAGCTAAGAACCCAGATGTTATCTTGAGGTTTTTAACTAATAAGCAGTTTAAATCAGAATGGCACATTCTGATTTGTTTTTTGTATGTTCACATTTGGCAGGTATAGATACTGTTTGAAGAGAGAAAAGTCAGTAGAGAGAGGTAACAAAATTAAATATGTGCCAAGTCTAGAAACAAGAGACCAGGGGGATAAGGACCTTTCGAAATAAAATGCAAGATTTGAAAACTGATTGGCTGGGGGATGAGGAAAAGGCAGGTCTTTAAGATCAATCCCTGTTTTGCTTTAAGTTGTTAGGGGGTGGTTTTATCACATGTTGTAGAATATGTCATTTCAGTTTTGAACATCTTGAGTTAAATTGTCCTAACATATCTTATGAATTTGATTTTATTCCCTGGGAAGCTAATATTTCAAACACTTACAGAGTATATAGATTTCCAACTTGTATCCAATTTATAAAACTATCTCTAGGCTGCTGATTTCAGGAGGAGGCTCATGAATATTCTCTTTGCAGAGAATATATCAGGAGTTAACAACAGCTTCAATATTTGTGGACGACCAGTTAACTAAGCCACCTCTTAGTGTCTTTACTTGGGAAATCTTAGCTGAAGATATTCAATAATGAACCAAGAGTGACTAAAAATTCAATATTTAAGTATATTTCATTGTAATTAATTTGAATTGAAGTAGCCATATACAGCTAGTATTTACTACATTGAACAATACAAATAAGAGGAAAAAATTAATAACCATCTCTAATTCAGACTCCAGGTCTGAATCCGAACTCAGTTCTCCTTTGATATCCACACTTTGTTAATTTTCCTTAACAGGGGTTCCTGGCAAGTCATTTCTCCCTCAGGCCTTCGTTTTCCTCACCTACAAGATGAGAAGGCTGCACCAGATGGAAATTCGGGGCGTAAGGGGAGGTCCGCACACAGCCCACCCCGCCCACGGGCCCCTGGAGCCTCCATCACAGTTCCCAACACGCACCCACCCCACAAATACTGCCCAAGGTGAGGGCTTGTCCCGGGTCCTCTGGCTGCCGCATCAGCGAGTGCAGGAGGGAGGGGAAGCCTCCAAGGGGGTGACGCAGGCTCAAGGATGCAACTCGGCCAGGAGTGAACTGGGACCCCAAAGGGAGATGTCCAGTCCGGTGCTGGAGCCCAGCCCTGGTCCCCGACCACCTTACCTGCACGGTCCGTATCTCCTGCTTCGTGAGGTCCTTGGACACAGCGCACTTGGTGCGCAACCTGCGCAGGCTGCCAACGGAGATGCCGATGAGCTTCTGGAGCTGCCCGCACTGCTGCAGCACCCGGCTGGCTGCAGCCCCTGCGCCTCCCTCCGGGATAGCCGCGTCACCCCCTCCACCTCTCTCTCCTTCTTCTCTCCCATCGGGGCCGAGCGCAGCGCCGCTGTATGCAGGCTTCAGCGGCCCAGGAACAGAGCCTGGGGCACAGGTGTCTAGGCAAGGAACCCCGGAACCGGGAGAGCTGGACCAGGAGTGACCCTCTGCGCTGCATTAGCCAGGACGCTGGTAGATCTGGCAGCCGAGTCTGCTGATCCCGCCCTCAGACCCGCGGCGGTGGGAGCAAAAATCCACGGCGGTGGGGGCAAAAACCCATGATGGCGAGGTGAAAAAGCCGCAGCAGTAAAAACCTGTGGCGGCGGGAGTAAAAAGCCACGTCGGCAAAAAGCTGCGGCGGTGGGGAAAAAGCCGCGGTGATGAGGGCAAAAAGCCACGGCAGCGGAGGCAAAAAGCTGCAAAAAGCCGCGGCGGCGGGCGCAAAATGCCGCAACGGTGGGGACAAAAAGCCGGGGCAGTGGGGGAAAAAGCCGGGGAAACGGGGGCAACAAGCCATGGCGGCGGGGACAACAAGCCACGGAGGCCGAGGCAAACAGCGCGGCGACAAAAAGTTGTGGTGGCGGGGGCAAAAAGCCGCGGTGACGGGGGCAAAAAGCCGTAAAAAGCCGCAGCGTCATGGGCAGAAAGCCGCGACGGCTGGGGCAAGAAGCCGCGGTGGCAGGATAAGAAGCCACGGCGGCAAAAAGATGCGGCGGCGGGGGGCAAAAAGGCGCGGCGGGGGCAAAAGGGGGCGGCGGCGGCAAAAAGCCTCAAGAAGCCGCAGCGTCCGGTGCCAAAATCCGCAAAAAGCCGCGGCGGAGGGGGTAAAAATACGGAAAAAGCCGCGGCAAAGGGGGCAAAAAGCAGGGGCGGCAAAAAGCCATGACGGCGGGGACATGAAGCCGCAAAAACGCTAGGCGGCAGGGGCAAAAACCCGTGGCGGCGGGGGCAAAAATCGGCTGGGGTGATAAAAAGTCGCGGCGGCGGGGGCAAAAAGCTGCAGTGGCGGGGGCAAAAAGCCGCAAAAAACCCTGGCAGTGGGGGCAAGAAGCCGCGGTAGGAAAAACCTGCGGCGGCAGGCGAAAAAAGCCGCGGTGGAGGTGGCGAAAATGCGTGAAAAGCCGCGGTGGCGGGGGCCAAAACCCGCGGCGGCAAAAAGCCACAACAAGCCGTGGCGGCGGGGCAAGAAGCCGCGGCGGGAAAAACCTGAGGCGGCGGGGGGAGAAAAGCAGTAAAAAGCCGCGGCGCCGGGGGCCAAAAGCCATAAAAAGCCGCGGCGGCGGTTACAAAAAACCACGGCAGAAAAATTCACGGTGGCGGGGGCAAAAAGCTGCGGCAGCAGGGGGAAAATAGCCGCAAAAAGCCGCCGCGACGAGGGTAAAACTCCGTGGCTTCAGGGGCAAAAAGCCGCGATGGCGGGGGAAGAAAGACGCAAAAAGCTGCGGCGGCAAAAAGCCGCGGCGGCGGTGGGGGCAAAAAGCCCCAAAAAGCCGCGGCAGCAGGGGCTAAATTCCGCGAGGCCGGGGGCAGAAAGCCGCGGCA
This sequence comes from Homo sapiens, assembly GCF_000001405.40. Lineage (NCBI taxonomy): Eukaryota > Metazoa > Chordata > Mammalia > Primates > Hominidae > Homo > Homo sapiens. The sequence goes on along the minus strand of NC_000007.14, from coordinate 62,376,318 downwards.
GCGGGGGCAGAAAGCAATGGCGGCGGGGGCATAAAGCCGCAAAAACCCGCAGCGGCGGGGTCAAAAATACACGGCAGCAAAAAGCCGCGTATGCTGGGGCAAAATAGTCGAAATGGGGTAGAAGGCCAGCACAGCTTGGCATTCCTGGAATGTGATGTGGAAGGAAAAGTGCAGAGGAAGACAAACAAAGATGTAAGTAGGCTTGACTCAGTGCAGCTAAGAACCCACATGTTATCTTGATGTTATCTATCAGCTAATTTTTTGTATTTTAGTAGAGAAGGGGTTTTACCACGTTGGCCAGGATGGTCTCGATCTCCTGACCTCATGATCCATGCACCTCAGCCTCCCAAAGTGGTGGGATTAGAGGCATGAGCCACAGAGTGCTCAAAAAATCTATTAATTAAAAAATGTGTATGTAGCCGTCTTTAATCTACCATGTCCATTAGCAGATAAATACTATAAGCAAAATAACAACAGTGAAAGAAACATAGACTTAGAGTAGATACTCTGATTTATTTAATAAAAATTTGAAAATAGACCAAATTACTCTATGATAAAATTTGTTACTATTGAGGATGAGGGTTAGTGTTTGGAAAGGGGCAGGAGAAGTATCTCTATTTTTAGTAATGTTCTATTTTCATACATGGTTATAAGCAAATACATGTGTTTCATTAATGAAGCTATCCATATTTAATCATTGTACTTTTCTGCATGTATGATATATGTCAATAAATGTCTTAAATTATATACAGCAAAAATAGAAAAAAACACAAGAAGACATACACAAATGTTAAACCTAGAGAGAAATTTGAATATAAGTAAGTCTTTGAATGACTGATAGAACAAACCGAAAAATAGGATGGAGAGGTTTGGAACAGCATGATTAGCAAAATTGACATATCTGTCTTTTAATATAGGTAGAAACATAGTTAGATAAAAAAAGGACTTGTCTCGGAGCATGATTTCTGAAAATAGTGGAATCGAGTTTGAATCTAGTAAGTACATATAAATAAATGTCTCAAAACTCCTCTTATGTTAGCTAATTAAGAAATGTTATTGTAATAGACATTAGAAAATATTTTAATAAATTGAGTGCATTTCACACGCTAAGGAAATGATCTTACTTGCATTTGATAGTTCAACTAGATACATATATACCTATAGGTATTTTAAAATATTTCTAATAACCTTATATACTTTTAAAAAGCATTGATATATGTGTGCACTATCTGGTCTATAGAGTACACATACCAAACATGATTATAGCTCTTCTGCTATAAACTTAAAATGTCTAATTAATACAAAAATCTAGAATGAGAAGAGTTCTTTGCAATTTTTTTTTTTTACCAAATAGAATATAGGAAAGATAGCTGCAAATATACCTGACACACTTAACTGTGAGTATGGTGGTAGCCTTTTTATTTTATTTTATTTTGAGAGAGGGTCTCACTTTGTCACCCAAGATGGAGTGCAGTCATGTGATCAGAGCTCACTGAAGCCTTCACATACTGTGTTCAAGCGATTCTCCCACCTCAGTCTCCTGAGTAGCAGGGACTGCAAGTGCATGACACCATACTAGCTAATTTTTGTAAAGATAGGGTTTCACCATGTTGCCCTGGCTGATCTCCATCTCCTGGACTCAAGAGATCTGGCCACCTTGGCCTCCCAAAGTGCTGGGATTATAGTTTTGGGGCACCGCGATCAGCCCAGCCTTCAAAAAGGCAGACTAGAGATCTTTATCTATGTATATCTATATGTATCTATAAAATAAACATATGTGTTCCTTATGTAAAAATATATATTATTAATATTATATAAAAATTTTTTTCGAGGTAGAAATATATAAAGAGGGTGCATGTAGAGCCTGGGTCATTGTGTAGTGAAGCTCAAGGCCTCTGAAGAAATGCCCCTTGCCTCTTGTGTCTGGGCTAGAATCTGAGAAGGGAAAGCAACAGATGCACTGGTTCCCAGGTTCTTGGCATCCTACAGAGAGAAACTTGTTTGAGCTAGGGTAGTGTTTAACACCCTTGTTCTTACACTTCTGTTTTATGTAGTAAGCAGAGACTAGCTTCATGAGAACAGACAGTGCCAGTCAAGGCTGTCTGTTATTTTGTGCAGCATTAATTGAGAAATTCTAGCTCCTGAAGACCTCTGGGCCATTTGAGGGTAGGTGCAGGGGAGGAAAGGGAAGATTGCATCCCTCCTGCTGTGGAGAGAACCCGTGGGAAGCACAGACCTTGTCCTAACTGAAGACACACCCCTTGCTAACCAGCTTCTCATCAGCCAACCCTGGATGAGTTTCCATGTCTATTTACTAAATAATCCTTATTGCTCTTCTTCATATGGGCAAAGTATGGTTTACAGGGAATATTGTTCCTTTGAGCACCCATCGTGGAAACCCCTTCCTGTCGTGGGAAAACAGGCTTCCATATGTGTCTTATTGGGAAACACATAGGCAGTTTCTGTTTTTACTGCATCTATTTCAGGGATATGGGAACTGAATAGTGCCCATCAAAGTCTCACCTGATGTTGGAAATTGATCTGAGAGCGCAGAAGGACAGAATTCTTTCTTTGTTCCTGGGCAGCGGTGGTTGAGGGATCATTTTGTGGCAGCTACAGTGGCAATGATGGAGACAGAATGGAGGGCTCAGTACCAAGACAAGGAGAGACTTGGCCTCACAATGGCAGCATTGCAGGGGTGCGCTCTACAGAGCATTTGCTCACATGGTTTTGGGCATTGTCTCTAACTACATTGCTTCCCCAATAGGTTGACCCATTCTAACTAACTCCTTTTCTCTTTAAAAAGCAAACTTCATTTGTATGACTTGCAATTGTAAACGACACCAATTGGCCAGTTATCGTTCAAATTCTCTGTTACTTAATCCTGGCTTTTCCTGACGTATGCAACTTTCACCTAAAAAATTGGACACTTTGTTGCTTACTCATTGTCTTTACACATTTTAAAATGTTGCTTTGTGCCCCCAATCCCTAACTACATTTTCAATGTTTTGCAAGTGGAGTCCGTGTGTTCTTGATTTACATGAAGCTCAAAATAATGGGTATAGTAACTAGTACTTCATAATTAAGCAAAAAGCTCTTATTGAAAAATGACAGAACTATACATAGGGATGAGAACATGGAGAGATATTTCGTGAGATCACAAAGTTATGGTATGGCAGAAGTAGAACGCTGAGTAGAGACTCTGTGTTCCCAATCATTATTTCTGCCACCAGCTTTCTATTTTGATGTTAATAATGTTCTTATGTGGGAAACCCTACATATTTGCCAATGTTTAGTTCATTGACAAAGAAATAGAAAGAGCTTCAAGAACACTCTAATCTTTAAAAAAATAAAATACCTATAATTGGCCATACGAAAAAAATTGGTACTTGACATATACTGAGATCGTTTTATTTTGTGCTAGACAAATGAAGTCATAGAACAGAATGTGCTTTAAATATTATGAATAGTGCTTGCATGTGTGTGTGTCTATAGATGCATATTAGGCCGCTGAAAAGTTTTATTATTCTTTCCAGGAGAGAGACTGCCAACTTTTGAACCTAACTAGAACAAGTATATTGTTTCTTCATATTTTTATTAAGGCAAAGAGAGTCTAGTTAAAAATAATTCAAATTGTCGTGGAAATGCTATAAATTGCTGTGAAGTGAGTTGCTGACTATGGCTTGTCAGAGCAAATATATTGTACAAACCTTAGGGGAGAATTAGTGCTTGTGCATTAAAATCAAATCATCTTGCAGCACACTGAGAAAAAGGTTAGATTTTTAAAATAATTTTAAAGTCATGAAAAGAGCAAATATGCTCCACAAAGAGCCTAGCAACCCTCAATGACCAATGCCCGTTTTATGTAGTTTGGTATCTGAATTAGAATCCCAGAATCTACAAATTCCTCTGCGTGTGGGTGCTGCATTTGAGGATTTTATAACACTGCCATCACCAAGCTCTCTTTTGATATTCACTTTAAGGAGATAATTTACGGGCAACCAGAGAGCATAAACCAAAGTAGATATCTATCTAGATAGCTAGATACATCTCCATATGATTGACAGGATACATTCTGGCCGAGTGTGAGTACAACCTATGGATGTGGTTGGAGAGAAAAGTGTTCCACCTGAATGGCAGATCAGGATTATTCCTTCTCATCTGCTGCAATGGCTCAATGTGTTAAGGAGAGGAGCGAGACAGCAAGAACCGCATTCATTCAGTCATACAGACCAAAAGGAGGAATGTCGCCCAGCCCTCTAAACTGACCCAGAACCCAGCTCATGTCTCAACTGCTACCTCTCCTACTTAGAAAGAAGTAACTCCACCAAAGCAGGGTTCTGGACAAATATATTTTTATTGATCATATACAAATAGATGAAGATGGACTTGGATGTTAAGAAAAATAATACTATACAAAATCGAGAGTAGACACAGTCGCCCCTAGACTTAAATTAAGGGTGTGTACATTAGATAATTTAATCCAATGTGTCAGGTAAAAACTTGAACAAACCTTTTGGCCTCTCCCTTAAAATTCAGGGAAGCATGTCCTCCAAAAAACAGAATCAAAATATAAATAAAAGACTGGCTTAAGATGAAAGGAAACCTTACAAATGAAAAGAAGCCAGATGAGAGGCACTTAACTGAGAATGAAAAGAAACTGAATGGACAAAATAATTATGAGAAGATGAACCTTCAAATCAGAAAGAGGGCAAACAGCTTATTTGATACTATGGGAACTCAAAAGAGAGTGAACACAAATGTGAAAATTCCAGGAGTAAAGAAAAGTAGCATAGCTAAATGAAGAGCATGAGAAAATGTATAAAATTTTGAGTAATAAGAACAGAAATCAAAAGTAACTATTGTATGTTATATTTTAGTAGAGCAACACTGAAGAAGAATGAAAGCAAGAAATAATATTAAATATGAACATATGGAGGACAGAATAATATTTTTAAAATTTTTAGTTTCTAAGCTTCTCTGAAATTTTGATTTTGTTTTCTTATGTAATACCAGAGTTATTAGGAAGGTATTATCTAATAACACTATTTTCAGTGAGATATTTTAAGTAGTTGTCCTAGAAAAATTTTATTTTTTAAAAATGTATATTTAAAAATACATTAAATGTGTATATACCTCATATGTTTCGATTTCTATTTTTCTTGAATTGCAAATGAAATTTGTATTTTTGTGTTCCTGGAACAAAATAAACTTGAATGGATTGTAATATGTTATTCATGCTGTAATTCAATGTATTTGAATACTTTAAAAATGCTACATTTATAGTTAACAGATACTGACCTATAAATTTTCTGTCTTATAATGATGCTGTGAGACAATCTAAGAAGAATTAAAATTTAAATTCACGTATTCCTACTTTTTTCTCTGTTCTCTAACTGTAATGTATTTTAATTACAGATGGAGGAACAGATAGATGTTAGATAAATAGATATATAATAGATAGATCATCCAAAATTCTTATTCTTATGGTTTTATGTAGTCAGTATTTACCTCTATTTTTCTACATGTTTATCCTTCCAATTTAGTTCATTACTTCCTGCACCTTTGATGTCATATATATAAACAGGAAACAACACATGGTGGCCGGGATGTAGAGAGGGCCACAGGAATTGTGAATAAAATCCACAGGCAAGGATGTGGCGATTCATTTTGCAATATTGGAGGGAATGCCAAACCCTATGTTTGCTGTGGAAAAGAGTATGGTAGTTCCTCAAAACATCAAAATGGTATTGCCTTATGATTCGGCAGCCCCACATCTCAAGATAGCAAAAGAATTCAAAGCAGAGTATTGAAAAAATATTTGCACATCCATGTTTGCATGCACCATTATTGGCAATAGCTAAAACGTAGAAGCAATTGAAGTGTTCAACAACAGATGAATGGATAAGCAAAACATGATACATACATACAATGGAAAATTATTCAGCCTTAATCATGAGGGAAATATACTGACATATATTGCAACTTGGATGAAACTTGAGGATATTATGCCAAGTGAAATAAGTTAGTCAGTGAAGGACAAATACAGTATAATTCCATTTGTATAAGAGACTTAAAAGGGACAGAATCACAGAGATACTAAAACGATGATTGCCAGAAGCTGGGGAGAGGAAGACATGGGGAAATACTGTTTAATGGGTATAGAGTTTCAGTTTCACAAGTTGAAACGAGTTATGGAGATGGGTGGTAGTGATGGCTGCACAATGTTATGACTCTAGTACCACTGAACTGTACACTTAAAATGGTTAACAGAGTACATTTTATGTTATGTGTATTTTACCACAATAAAAAAATAAACTACCTTAGGAACATTTTCCTGAAAGAGTCCACATAAAATTCATTTTAATGCATGTGTTTATGCATAGCTTTCTATTTTTCTCTTTTCTATTTATATTCCAAATTAGAATATAATGCTAATCAAGCATTGTGGCTGTGTTTCTTGCTTCCTCTAGTCTGCAGGTAGCGTACAAATGTAATAAACTACTCATGAATGTCACACCTATTTATTTTCTGCCTTATACCAAGCTTGTGGGATTCTCTTAAATACAACATTTTTATACTTACACCTATGCAATACCCATTAGCATCGCCTTCCTAAATCAGGGGGAATTGAGTCTCTGTAAGGTGCAGTAACTTACTAAGATACAAAACTTAGCATTAAAGTCTGTATACTTCAATATCCTGCCCTCTTCTCATTTGTCTTTACTGCCTTTTATGTATGTGTTAGATGTTCAATAAATTCTCTTTTTTAAACCGAATTTAAGCAGTGGAGCAGTGTTTTGTTGAACAATAAATATGATATTGGACACTCTTCCTCCCTTTCATTTATGATGCAGTTCATGAAAAAGAGAAATACTTTCATTGTGCTAGAAGCTTAAAATAATGAAAACGCCGCTTTCTACATTAAACAGAAACTGAAGGGAATCAAGGTGAATTGCATGAGACATAGAAAACAAGTGGGAAATAAATCTAGTATAATTTCCCCTTTGTGTACCTTTGTTATTTAGCATTTGAGAAAATGTTTCCCTCAAATATCTTCCCATATAAATTCATGTTTATAAAGTAGACATTTATGTCTCACCTTGTCAAGAAGGGCAATCTCTAACATAAACATTTCCCAAAAATGCTTCCTGCTAAAACGTAAGCTCAGTCTGGCTTGAATTTAAGCTCACTTCATAATAAAAAGTTGGTAGCTAATCTTTGCATGCTGTTCTCTGAACTTGAGTGAAAGCGGTCCATCAGGCATACAGGGAATGACGGAAAAGGTGACAACAGAAGATGAATGCTATGTCACTAACCTTCAAAGATGACCTGCCTTTTCTTTCAAATTCTTGATATCTTAAGACTTCATTAATTCATCTCTCTTTGCCCTTGGTGCAACATTGTGCTATACCAAAACTCATGTAAAACAATGATCTAATGTAATAAAAATGGCATTTTTCTTTCATGTAGATGCAAGCTATCTGGCATTTTTACAATCAACATACTTCCGTTGTCAATTTTTCATTCTGTATTGGAACTAATTGATAGGTATTTCTGAAGGGATGAAGGTGTTTCTGTGTTCATTGTGATCCAAACGTTTTTTAGACCTAGTGGTGTTGGTAAAACAACTTGTGCCAGCTGACCAAGGACCACTGTGGCAGAAAGCAGCAAACTTGCATAAGATGTCGCTGCCTCATCAGTTGGCTTTGAAAACTAGGGGCTTATTCTATAGACCTATGAATCAAAGACATTGATAGATGTAGTATAAGATTAAAATCATATTTTCCTTTTGACAGTCACATTATAAAGCATGATGTATTGCAATTAATCTCAATTAGCTGATGACAATTAAAATTAATAGTTTATTATTGCTGATAAACAATCATGACTCTCCTGTTCTCAAATGTGCAAGGAATTCTTGTAATTTTAATACAAATTTGCATATTATTACTAATTGATTTAATCTCATTGGATTTGGTTCATGGATCCAATTTATTAAAATATTGATAATGGGATAATGATTTGTCTCCTCATTTCATTTACACTAAAAGATACAATTCTTACAATGCTCTGCAAGCCCATCGTGATCTGCCGCATGTTAACCGCCAAAATTCTTTTATGTCTTCACCCTTGATCTTACCAGTGGTCCTGGCCACCTCACTGTCCTCTGGACATGCCAACATGCTGCTGTCTTATGACCAAGACTCTAGTTAATTTCTTGGCTTTGAAAGATAACCTTCCATATATGCATTGATCAGCTCATTCAACTTCCTCAAGTCTTTACTGAAACCTCACATTCTCGATGAGACCTATTCAGTATTTCAAACTGCCTCCCAGCTGCAACATTCCAAAACCCATTAGTCTTTTGTGTATTTTTGAAAGGATTTATTGAGATATAATTTACATACTGTAGAGTGCGCATATTAATGTCTACAAGTCAATGGCTTTTAGTATATACACAGATAAGTGGAGCCATCAGCACAATGAATTTTAGAGCATTTTCATCACTTCAAAAAGAAACCCCACCTTCTCTAGCTGTTACCCTCCTATGCACTCATCCCCTACTCAATCCTAAGCAACCACAAATCTGTATACTCTGGGGGTATACCTAGGAATACATTTCTGGGTCATATGACAATTCTATGTTTCATATATTTAGAAGCCATCAACCTATTTTCCAAAGTGGCCAGTTCTAGCCATAGAGTATTTAACTGTGGTTTTGATTTGTAGTTGCCTGATGAGTGATGTTGTTGAGTATGTTTTTATGGGATTATTGACCGTTCGTGTATCTTCTTGGGCTACACATCTATTCCTATCATTTATCAGTTTTGAGTTGGGATTTTTGTTACTGAATTAAAACAATTTTTCTATATTCAAGATACATATATATGCAGACATATAGATATGTGTTTCTCAAATATTTTCTCACAATTTTTGAGCTGCCTTTTGACTTGCTTGGTTGTCCTTTGAAACACCAATGTCTTTAATTTTTAAGAAATTTTAAATATCTAATTTTTATTTTGTTGCTCATGTTTTTGGGGTTACAGATATTTCTTTGCTAGATCCAAAATCCTGAAGATTTTTGCATATGCTTTATTCAAGCTCTTGCATGCATGTCTTTAATTCATTTGAGTTAATATTTTTGTATGCTTTGGGGTAAGGCTTCCAATTTACTATTTTGCAAGTGGCGATCCACGTGTACATTGTTGACCCAGTTTGTTCAAAGACTGTCTCTTCCTCATTGAATTGCACATGGCACCACTTTAAGAATCCATTGACTATAGATACATAGTTTTATATATGGACTCTCAATTCTCTTCCATCAATCTATATATTTTTCCTTCATCAGTATTTTGTTGTCTTGATTACTGATGCTTTGCCGTAAGGTTTGGAGCACGGGGGTGTGAGTTATCCTAATATGTTTTCTTTTATCAAGACTATTTTGGCTATTTTGAGTCCCTTACAATCCCATGTGTATTTTAGAATCAGCTTGTCCGTTTCTAGACAGAAGTCTGTTGGGATACTTGCAGGGATTACGTCAAATCTGTAGTTCAACTTGCAAAGTACTACAATATTAAATCTTCCAGTTCATGGGTGGAAGATGTTTGCTAATTATTTAGATATTCTTTAAACAATAATTTTTAATTTTCAGAGTAAAATCTTGTATCACATTTTCCAAATTAATTATTATTTATTTTTTTGATGCTATTTTAAATTGAAGTGTTTTCTTAATTTCATTTTGGGGTTTTCATTGTAGGTGTGTGCAATTGATTTTTTTGTACATTTATCTTGTATGCTGTAATATTGCTGAAATAATTTACGAGTTCTATCGTTCAGTGGATTCCTTAAAATTTTCTATATACAAGAATGTTATTTTCAAATAAAATTTTATTTCTTCCTATTCAATATGGGTGACTCTTTTTTTTTAGTTGCCGATTTGCCCTGCATAAAATCTTTAGTACAGTGTTAACTAGAAGAGGTCCAATTATATATCCTATTCTTATCTCTGACCATAGCGGGAAAGCATCCTTTACCATTAAGTTGCATGCTTGCTGTTGGCTTTTCGCAGGTGCCATGTATCTGGTGTAGAAAGTTCTCTCTTCCTGGTTCATTGAGTTTTTATTTTTATTTTTAATCATTAAAGCATTTGGATTTTGTTAAATGTCTTTTCGGAATCTATCGAGATGATCATGCAGTTCTCGTTTCTTATTCTATGGATAAGATGTATTACCTTAATGGATTTTGGGCTGTTAAACCAACCTGAGATTACTAGTATAAATTTCACCTTGTCATAGTGTATAATTCTTTTATATGTTGCTAGATCTGATTTTTTAGTATTTTTTAAGGAATTTTGCATTTATACTTATAGTAGTTTTATTTTTCTATGCTATTTGGACTAATTTTTGTATCAAGGTAACACTGGCCCCACAGAATAAATTGGGAAGGGAATATTTCTCTTTTTAAAAAAAGTCAGTCAAGAATTAATATCAATTAGTCAATACTAACAAATATGATTAATATTATAAATTATTAATTTCTCTAATTTTTATTTTCTTCCTTCTGCTGGCTTTAGGTTTATTTTGCTATACTTTCCAGTGCCTTAATGTGGAAGGTCATCTTATCTCCTCCTTTCCTTTGTCTTTTCATTTTCTAAATAGTGTCTTTTTAGCATCAGGTGAGCTCCCCAGGTTGGTAGTACTCCATGTTTATTGCTGTACAACAATGACAGGTAATATGTCCTGAAGACAATGGAAAATTAACATTCAAAATCCTCCTAGATTCCACCTTATGTGAAATGTCTCTTCCTTTGGTTGGTCCTAATTTCTACCCTTTCTCTATTATAAACTATGAGTACAATGGCATTCAATGAGTTCTGTGAGTCTTTTTAGTAAATTCTTGAAACTGAGGGTGTTCTGGGGAAACCCCTGAACTGGCAGTTGGTGACAAAAATGCGAATCATCTTATATGGCCTCTTCCTTTGAACTTTGCAGCTGGACCCAAACTCTGCACAATTTGGGCCAGAAGCCTCGTGTTGACTTTGCAGCCTAAATTATCTTGTAGTTTGTCTAACCCTCAATAAATTTGCTTTCATCAAATATTGTATTTGTTACCCCAAAATTACTATCATGTTTCTTTTCTCCAAATAACTAACATTGGGAGAAATAGCCAGCTGAATCTGTAACTCAACAGAAACATGTGATCCATATACCATATAAGTGGCCATTTCATTTTGCCTTCTTCCACCAAATCTTAGCAACCTCAACCATTGCCATGAGCCACTGTAGGCCTACCGTCTACAAACAAACAAGTATCATTTGAAAACACTTCATAATCCCATTTGATAAATTTCCCAGCAAAGAGATGCTTACTTTAACTCTATGCAAGTGGCTCATATTCGCAAAGTCTGGAGATATTATTCAGGTAGTGTGAGAAAATCTTCCCAGCGATTCCAGCACATTCTCCTTCCCATGATCTGCTTAGTTTGCAAACATATTCAGGCCATAGGTTAGAGATTTGTATTTCACAGTACAACAATGTTATGGAGGTCATTGAAACTTAGATTGAGCATTTCAGCACAGTCACGCATCACTGAATGACAGGGATACGTTCTAACATATGCATCCATAGGCAATTTCATCATTTTGCAAACGTCAGAGAAAATATTACAAACACCTAGTTTGTACAGCCTACCACGTTTAGGTTATATGGTATAACCTCTCTCTCCTAGGCTACAAACCTGTGTACTACACTACTATACTGAATACTGCAGGCAATAAGAACACAGTGGTAAGAGTTTATGTATGTAAACATACTTAAACATAGAAAAGTATGTAAAAATATGTATTATAATCTCATGGGACAACTTTTGTATATGTAATCCACCTTTGACTGAAATATTATTATGCATGACATGACTCTATGACAAAAATAATACATTTTAAAAAATGTACACATGTATCATATTATAAAAATAAAGATATTTATTCAGTGTAAGAATTTGTAATGATCACAGCTTATATTTAAGTACAGTTTCAAATGCCTAGTGCAATTACTGTTTATTTCTTTGTGTATTTTAAACATGTATATAATAAATATTTTTCAGGTTCAACAATATATATCAATCCTACAGGCTCTTATAAATATTAGTTAAAATCAATTGGTAAATTCATGTATATATATGCATACCTGTATCAGTGAGCGTGTGTGCATGTATGCTTGTGTAAATGTAATTGTATGTGTGTGTAAATGTAATTGGATGCGTCCTTATATTTACCCTTACCTACAAGATTTCCAAGATTCATTTATGATCTTTAGATGATGGGCATTTAAAGATGTACCAAATACAACTGTAATAGTGGAAAATATCAAGATGTTATTAAATTCATCTTGTGCACATAATTGTTGCTATAAATTTGTTTCTTGCAAAACTTGCAGTAATGCTCATGCACAAAATAATTTTCTAAATAAAAAATAAAAACGTTTTATCGGTCATTAATTCTTGAAATTATTTCTCCCCAATAATTAATGAATTAATTCTTAATTCTTAATTAAAGAATAATGTTGCCCTTCAGAGTTCGGAAATTTTTACATGTTGTACACATTTCACTAACCAGAACAACTTCTGAAATATTGGCATTAATTACTGTCACTCAGCAATTATTGATTTCAAAGGCATTAAATACCATTCATATTCTGAATCACAAGGGTACTTTGGCATCTTATTTAATCAAGCTCTTTGTATCATCATCTACACTTTAATTACTTAACAAACATTTCTCTGTGTGAGAAAGTTTGAGCAGGTTATTGTGCTTTTTTAAGATGCAACTTTTGCTTAATCTAGAGATAGGCAATGCTCCCTATAAGGGACAAGGAGAAAAATAAATGAGCAATAGAGATGTGACAGGCATGGAAAAAGACAGTACATTTATCAAACAAATAGGGCCATGGATGACGATAATGGGGATCAAATCTTGAGATACCGACTCAGTTTATAACCACACTGTATAATAGAGCAAATCATTTGTTAACTTTTTTACAAATGGAATTTAATTTAATTAAGATGAATACAGTGTTTTAAATAAGGCAGGTCTTCTTAAAATAAAATAATGGAATAAAGTGATAAAACCAAAGTAAAAATCGTAAACATTTTATAAATAATTTTTGTCATGTAACTTAATATTTTTGTTCATTTAAAATCACCCAAATCAAAATAATTTTATCTTAATTAACAAATAATCATCAGAAGTTTAACTAATTTTTACTTTATGAAACTAGGTTTAAAAATTATTAACTATATTTTTAATCACATATGCTTCTATATAAAATAGACATAGGATATATATTTACATGTTCACAATATTATATTGTAATTGCTCCTATGGATGTGGTTTTTCAATAGAATTAATAAGTACTTTTAAAAAGTTTCCATTTCAATGATGTATATGATTGATTTTTCTTAGACAAAGCATACATATATTGATAGGTAATAATATGAAAATCTTCTAAAGGCATTACAGGAATACGAAAATGTAATTAAATACTCACTAGTTTCTAATGTTTTATGTAAGCGGAACACTTTTAACTGAAAATTGCTTTTATATTAATACTGAAACGAGACTAAAAACTTTTTAACCAGTGGAGTAACTATTCAAATTGATAATCTGAACTATATAAGAGGAGAAACTTCAGGCACTCTAATATTTGAAATGCTACAAAATATTTATATAAGCTATTATTTCACAATTTCTGTTTGTAGAGTGCTATACAGTAATCAATATAAACGACATCCCAAATCTTTCTATAGCTTTGACCACATTTACATCCTAATTTTAATTATTAATACGTTGGAGCAGTGCATACAACTAGATTCTGATCTTCCTTTTTAATGAGTAAAAATATGCCCTTTGAGACAGCATTAAAGAAAGAGCACCTTGTATAAATTCAATGCCAAGAGACAAGATATTCTTGATTCTGAAGTCTTGTTCTTTCATACAGCAATGTAATTAATAAGAAGAAAAGCAGGACATAGATGTGGAGCCTATTTTAATAAAAAATTGTCTATAGATTTTGATGATAAAATTTAAAAATCTACTATATTTAGTTACAAAAAACTAGGTTGTGGGAACATATTTGGTCAATAAAACACCCCTACCAAGTGCTGACAAGAAAAAATGTTAGGTACCACCTTTCTTCTCTGCAGATGGCCTGAGATGGGTTAATTTGAAAGAACGCTTCCAAACCTGAGGTGACCCCTGAGAACAGCATAACCCACTGCTGTCTCCCACATTCAGTTTCTCAGTTTGTGCTCTTTTAATTTTGCGGGGAGGGAAGCCAGACCTTTAAACCAATCTTCAGCATGATGGCAGAGCCAAGGAGTGTGGACAGGTGGCACGGTGTCTGACTTTGTTCCAGCAGCCACTTGGGCTTTCTCTGGATCTTCTCTGCCCTAGGGATAGCACCACTATTGAAAACATATCTTTGTGACATTCTCTATGCCAGGAACTCCCAACACATTTTCCTTGAAACTGATGAAATGAACAAAAATAAACCAAGAGGTGTGCTGTTTGTTTCTTTTTCCTCCTTTCTGCAGCTCTTCTTGATCATCTAATATTTTTAAATACATTGTCGATCACCAAAAGGAGCATAAGGGGTATATTGATTTGTAGCAGATGTATTAATAGCCCAGCCCCTATTCCTTACCTGTAGCTGCTGGGAAGAAAACCATTCTTAACACTCTACAGAGTGTCATCTCCAGAATTTGCAGCTGTTTCTAGCTGAGGACTTTCTCTAGCAGCACGGGAGTTTGATACTGGGCATGAAGTGGGAAGAAAAGGTGAGGGTAACTAAGAAGAATCTCCCTGGATTCAGTGATGTAATTCTGAGGCATCTTCCACATAGCTACCCATAGAATTAAGCCCAGATATCTAACGCAGGATCTTGCCTCTTAACACGTGTGGTATTGGCTTTTCTATCTTTCCTGTTTTATTTTGTTCTCTCTTCCTTGTCTTACTTTCACTGTGTCCTCACTCCTGCTTTAAGAATACCCAAACAAATACATTCATTTATTTTTTTAGAGTCTCAGAACACAGTTGTTTGTTGAATTTGTAATCTATGATAATCAGCTTGGATGCTATACTTACAGGAAGATAGTGAACTCACAATGTCTAATTAAGATAAAATTAAAAAGTATATTGATTCATGTCCAAAGATTTAAAAAACCTAAGCGGCAGTGTCACAATTTCGTTTTTAGTTTACATAGTTTCTTAAATGCCTACAATTGTTTTAAAAGAAACCTTGAATCTAGGAAAAATTGAGGCATATGGAATAAATTACTAACCCATTTCTCCTTGAAATCCATAAGATGATTGATGATTTTTCAAATATATTTCTGAATTGAAAAACTAGTTGCTAATTATTTTTATAAACATATCCTTATGCAATATTTTGTTTCCTGCAGTGAATTGAAGGTTTAAAGATTAAATTATTCTATCCAGAGAATAAAAAGCAATTATTTCACAAGGAGAACATGGGTACTTTGACACGACATCTTAAAGTCTAGATTTTAAAATAGGTCCCATACACTTTTGTGTCAATTAGAATACGTTTGTATCAGTCTGTCTACAGTTTTACACCTGTCTAAATGTACTTGAACTACAACAACTACCTTGAACAGTTTTGAAATTTATGATTCCTCTGAAACTGATTAAAAGAATTATGGTAGAGTGAAATTCTGATTGACATAATTTGGGAGAGAAATTATTCCTTGGGGATCAACCTCTGCCAAGATAGTTTATAATGACATTGAGGCTTCTTGATTTACACAATTTGTTATATAAAAAAATACTAAGATGATGGCAGATAATACACAGACTTTAATTAAAATTGTACTACAATTAATAATCTAAATAAATTAGAAGTGTACATGGTACGTCTAAATGTATGTTTATATATTTTATTTGTGCATTTTTTTCCTAGGGTTTCTTTTGCTTTAGTTTGTAAAACGTTCTCATTTTTATGATAATGTAGCATATGCTAAATAAAGAAAAATCAGGAAATAGAAAATGAAGAAGAAAACATTAGCTATTGTCAACCAAATAAAAATTGTGCAATCTCTAAGCACATGAACTATGTAATATTTGTACAGCATAGTACAATATTTATGCTTCACAGGGTGAGGTAGGGACCGCCAAACCTTGAACTTGGGACAAATAAGAAAGTAAGGAAATTTTCACAACTTATTAATATTACAGAAAATGCTGAACTTAACAGTTAAGATACAAGTAGTGAAAAATGATAGTATTTAAGGAGATCTAGAAAATTTAATCTATACCTGTAATGTGTGAGAAGTATTAGAATAATGCTTGTATTTCTGGATTGGCATCGATTTCTATTGAGACTGGAAACATAATAGAAGTGAGCAAAAAAGAATTTAAATTGTGGATACTTGAGTTTTATACCTAGGAGTTCGAGAAATACATTTTATTACTATCAAAGCAGTTGGCACAAGAGTGTACAAAATTCCCTAATTGTGTCTATGTGGAGAAGACATAGACAAACAGAGAATAGCAAAACTGAAATAGCAAAAAAGCACAAATAAATTTTACCTGTATTTTTAGGTAGAAGCCAATTAGAGAAGGAAAACATGAAATTTGTGTTTTATCAAAATTTTTCTCTTTCTCATAATATAGTTGAATATATTACTGGAAAAAATTTGAAGCACTGGTATGTTCACAAATAAAAGTAAAATATAATGGCAAAACAATGGGAATGCAGGGAGCAGACAAAATATAACTAAACACCGAAACTGATTTTGCCCTACGGACATGTAGCAAAATGAATGAGTGCAGATTCCTACTGTCATACATCACATAGGAGAGTAAAGAAATACATAGATTTTCCCAAGATAGGGCATCACACAGGAGCTCCTCCCTAAAGCTAGGACCAAAATTTATATCCTCAGTATAAAGAAGAATCAGAGGTAAATTAGTCCCATTTCACATTCCCTGGAAATGGCAAATAAAAATGACTTGAGATTGGACAGATTTAAAGAAACTCAATCGTTAATGATTTACAGCAACTAATTTAAAAATTGTTTAAATGTGCAGTCCAAACATACGTCCGAACACCTTTAGGCCAAGAATTAACATAATGTGGTCCCAGAATGGTGGTGTCTTTAGTAGAATCACAAAACAATTGAAATTCTCTTTGGCAAATTTCCTATTTACTAATCCGCAAAAGTGCACAAAAATAATTTTTAGAGACAAATAAATATTTGTCATTCAAAGGCATCTAAGTATGCAAGGAAATGATATTCCACCATTTGAAAGGAAAGCAGAAAAAGAGTACAAACAGATCCACAAACGTTCATTAGTAGAAATATCACTGTTAGATTATAAAGCACATTTGCTTTCAAAAAATTTTTTAAAAAATGAATATATTGTTAGGAGACTATGATGATGATTCCTTTCGAGCCAATTCGATGATTCCCTTCGAGTACCTTCAATGATGCCATTACATTCCATTCGATGATGATTCCATTCGAGTCCATTAAATGATTCCATTCGGTTGAATTCAATTATTCCATTCGATTTCATTCGATGATGATTCCATTCTAATCCGTTCGATGTTTCCATTTGATTCCATTCGAGGATGATTCCATTCGACTCCATTTGATGATTCCATTTGATTCCATTTCATGATGATTCCATTTGATTCCTTTCTTTGATGATTCCATTCTATTACTTTCGATGATGATTCCATTTGAGTCCATTTGATGGTTCCATTCAATTCTATGTGATGATGATTCCTTTCGAGGCCATTCGATGATTCCTTTTGAGTCCATTGGATGATTCTATTTGAGTCTGTTCTATGATTCCATTCGATTTCATTCGATAATGATTGCATTCTGGGCCATTTGATGATTCCATTCAAGTCCATTTGGTGATTCCCTTCAATTCTATTCGAAAAGGACTCCATTCGAGTCCATTAGATGATTCCATTCAATTCCATTTGATGATGATTCCATTCGAGTCTATTCAAAGACTCTATTGAAGTCCATTTGATGATTCCATTCAATTCCACTTGATGATGATTCCTTTCGAGTCCGTTCGTTGATTACTTTCGATTCCATTCAATGATGATTACACTCTCTTCCATTCATTGATGATTCCATTCGATTGCATTCGAGGACTCCATTCGATTCCATTTGATAATGATTCCATTCGTGTCCATTTGATGATTCCATTAGTTTCTTTTCTATGATGATTCCATTTGAGGCCATTCGATGATTCCATGTGATTCCAGTCGATGATGATTCCATATGAGGCCATTCAATGATTTCATGCAATTCCAGTCGATGATTATTACATTCGATTCCATTCAATGATTCCTTTCGATTTGACTTGATGATGATTCCATTCGATTCCATTCGATGATTCCATTCAATTTCGTTCGATGATTATTCCATTCGAGTCCATTCAATGATTCCATTGGATTCCGTTCGATGATGATTCCATTAGAGTTCATTCGATGATTCCATTCGAGTCCATTCTATTATTCCTTTTGATTCCATTTGATTCCAATGATTCCATTCGATTCCATTCGATGATTCCATTCCATTCGATTTGATGATGATTCCATTCTATAATGATTACATTCGAGTCCATGTGATGATTCCATTAGATTCTATTCGATGATGATTCCATTCGAGGCCATTCGATGATGGCATTCGAACCGATTCGACGGTTTCACTCGATTCCACTTGGTGATGATTCCTTTTGAGTCCATTCGATGATTCCTTTCGCGTCCATGAGATGATTCCATTCGATTCCATTTAATGATGATTCAATTCGAGGCCATTCGATGATTCCATTCAAGTCCATTCGGTGATACCCTTTGATTCCATTCGATGAGGGCTCCATTCGAGTCCATTTGATGATTCCATTAGGTTCCATTCGATGATGATTCCATTTGAGTCCATTCAAAGATTCCTTTCGAGTCCATTCAATGATGCTGTTGGATTCCACTTGATGATGATTCCTTTCGAGTCCATTCGATGATTCCTTTCAAGTGCTTTCAATGATTCCATTCAATTCCATTCGATGATGATTCAATTCGAGTCCATTCAATGATTCCATTCTGTTGAATTTGATGTTTCCATTCGATTCCATTCAATGATGATTCCATTCGAGTCCATTGGATGATTCCATTTGATTCCTTTCAAAGATTACTCCATTCTACTCCATTCGATGATTTCATTCGATTTCATTCCATGATGATTCCATTTGATTCCATTCGATGATTCCATTCGATACCATTCGATGATGATTCCATTAGAGTCCATTTGATGAATCCATTCAATGATTCCATTCGAGTCCATTCGATGATTCCATTCGATTCCATTAGATGAAGATTCCATTCGAGTACATTCCATGATTCCATTTAATTCCATTTGATGATGATTCCATTCGAGTCCATTCGATGATTCCATTCGATTCCATTCGATGATTATTCCATTCGAGTCTGTAGATTATTCAATTCAATTCCATTCGAAGATTCCATTCGAGTCCATTCAATGATTCTATTCGATTCCATTTGATAATTCTATTTGATTCCATTTGATGTTGATTCCATTCGAGTCCATTCAATCATTATTCCATTTGATTCTATTCGATGATTCCATTCAATTCCATTTGATGAGGATTCCATTCGAGACCATTCAATGATTACATTCAATTCATTCGATGATGATTACATTCAATTCCATTAGATGATACCAATAGATTCCATTAGATGATGATTTCATTCGATTCCTTTCGATGATGATTCCATCAGAATCCATTAAATGATGACTCCTTTCAGTTCCATTCGATTATGATTCCATTTGGTCCCATTCAATGATGATTCCTTTGGATTCCATTCAATGATGCTTACATTCAAATTCATTTGATGATGATTCTTTTCGATTCCATTCGATGATGATTCCATTTGATTCCATTCGATGATGATTCCGTTTGATTCCATTCGATGATTCCATTCGATTCCATTCAATGATGATTCCTTTCGTGTTCATTGATCATTCCATTCTATTCCATTCGATGAATCCATTCGAGTCCATTCAATGATTCTATTTGATTCCATTCAATAATTCCTTTCGATTCCATTTGATGATGATTCCATTCGAGTCCATTCGATGATTATTCCATTCGATTCTTTTCAATGGATACTTTCGTTTCCATTTGATAATAATTCCATTCGAGACCATTCGATGATTTCATTCAATTTATTCGATGATGATTCCGTTCAATTCCATTCGATGATTCCATTAGATTCCATTTGATGATTCCATTCGATTTCATTCAATAATGATTCCATGCAATTCCATTCGATAATGACCCCTTTCGTTTCCATTCGATGACGATTCCATTCTGTTCCATTCAATGATGATTCCTTTGGATTCCATTCAATAATGATTCCATTCCACTCCATTTGACGTTAATTCATTTCGATTCCATTCGATGATGATTCCATTTGATTCCATTCGATGATGATTCCATTTGATTCCATTCGATGATGATTCCATTTGATTCCATTCGATGATGATTCCATTCGATTCCATTTCATTGATTCCATTCGATTCCATATGAAGATGATTCCTTTCTAGTCCATTCAGTGATGATTCAATTCGATTCCATTGGTTGATTCCATTCGATTCCTTTCGATGATTATTCCATTCGAGTCCATTCGGTGATTCCTTTTTATGCCAATTGAAGATTATTCCATTCGATTCCATTCGATGGTACCATTCGATACCATTCAATGATGACTCCATTAGAGTGCATTCAATGATACCATTTGGTTCCATTTGATGATGATTCCATTCGATTCCATTCGATGATTCCATTCAATTCCATTCTATGATGATTCCATTCGAGTCCACTTGATGATTCCACTGGACTCCATTTGATGATGATTCCATACTATGATTCCATTCGATTCTATTCTATGATGATTCCATTCGATATTGTTCGATGCTGATTCCATTTAATTCCATTCGATGATTCCATTCTATGATACCATTCGATTCTATTCTATGATGATTCCATTCAATATATTTCAATGCTGATTCAATTCAATTCCATTCGATGATTCCACTTGATTCCATTCGATTATTCCATTCGATTATACTCGACGATGATTCCATTCACTTCCGTTCGATGATTCCATTCGTTTCTATTCAATGATGATTCCACTTGATTCCATTTGATGATGACTGCATTCGATTCCATTGGATGATTCCATTTGATTCCATTCGATGATGATTCTGATCAATTGCATTCAATAATTCCATTTGATTCCATTTGATGATTCCATTTGATTCCATTCGATAATGATTCCATTTGAGGATATTTGATAATTCCATTTGAGTCCCATTGATGATTCCATTTGACACCATTCGATCATTCCATTTGAGTACATTCGATAGTGATTTCATTAGAGTCCATTCGATAATTCCATTGGAGTCCATTCGATGATTGCTTTTAATTCCATTCGATGATATTCCATTCGAGTCCATTCGATGATTCCATTTGATGCTATTAGATGATGATTCCATTCGTGTCCATTTGGTGATTCCATTAGATTTCATTCGATGATGATTCCATTCGAGTCCATTCAATGATTCCATTCAAGTCCATTTGATGATACCTTTCAATTCCATTTGATGATCATTCCATTCGAGTCCATTCAATGATTCCATTGGGTTCAATTCGATGATGATTACATTGGATTCCATTCTATGATTCCATTCGATTCTGTTCATTGATGATTCGATTCCATTCGATGATGATTCCATTTGATTTCATTCGATGATTCTATTCGATTCCATGCGATGCTGATTCAATTCTATTATATTGGATGATTCCATTCGATTCCATTCGATGATGATTCCATTCGATTCCATTCGATGATGATTCCATTCGATTCCATTCGATGTTGACTCCATTCGATTCTATTCGTTGATGATTCCATTCGAGTTCATTCAATTATTCTATTTGATTCCATTTGATAATGATTCAATTCTCTTCCATTGGATGATTCCATTTTATTCCATTCAATGATGACTCCATTCGATTTCATTCGATGATGATTCCATTTGATGATTCCATTTGATTCCATTTGACGGTGAGCAATTCGATTCAATTCCGTGATGATTCTATTTGATTCAATTAGATGATGTTTCCATTCGATTCCATTCGATGATGATTCCATTGGATTCCATTCGATAATGTTTCCATTCGAGTTCATTCAATGATGATTCCATACGAGTCCGTTTGATGATGATTCCATTCGATTTCATTCGATGCTTCTATTCGATTCCATTCAATGATGATTCTGTCTGATTCCATTCTATGATTCCATTCGATTCCATTCGATGCTTGTATTCAATTTCATTTGATAATGATTCCATTCGATTCCATTCAATAATTCCATTTGATTCCATTCCTTGATGATCCCATTCGAGTCCATTCGATGATTCCATTTGAGTCCCTTCATTGATTCCATCCGATTCCATTTGATGATGATTCCATTCGAGTGCATTCGATGATTCCGTTCGATTCCATTCTATGATTCCATTCGAGTCCATTCGATTATTCCATTGGAGTCCATTGGATGATTCCATTCGATTCTGTTCAGTGATGATTCCATTTGATTCCATCTGATGATGATTTCATTTGATTCCATTCAATGATGATTCCATTCGAGTACATTGAATGATTCAGTTCGATTCCATTCGATGCTGTTTCCATTCGAATCCGTTCGATTATTCCATTCAACTCCCTTCGATGATTCCATCCGATTCCATTTGATGATGATTCCATTCGAGTTCAATCGATGATTCCGTTCAGTTCCATTTAATGATTCCATTCGAGTCCATTAAATTATTACATTCCTGTCCATTTGACGATTTCATTCGATTACATTCAATGATGATTCCATTTGATTCCATTTGATGATTCCGTTCGATTCTTTTCAATGATTCCCTACAATTCCTTTCAATGATCATTCCATTTGATTCCATTCATTGATGATTCCATTCAATTACATTCGATGATGATTCCTTTTGATTCCCTGTGTTGATGATTCCATTAGATTCCATTTGATGATAATTCCATTCGATTCCATTCGAAGATGATTCCATTCGATTTCATTCGATGGTTCCATTCGATTCCATTAGATGATGAATCCATTCGATTCCATTCGATGATTCCATTCAATGATTCCATTCGATTCCATTTGATGATGAGCCATTCGATTCAATTCCATGATGATTCCATTTGATTCAATTCGATGATGTTTCCATTTGATTCCATTGGATGATGATTCAACTTGATTCCATTCCACTATGTTTCCATTCGAGTCCATTCGATGATGATTCCATTCGATTCTGTTCGCCTATGATTCTGCTTGATTTCATTCAATGCTTCTATTTGATTCCATTCGATGATGATTCCATCTCATTCCCTTCGATGATTCCATTTGATTCCATTCAGTGATGATTCCATTCATGTCCATTCGATGATTCCATTAGATTTCATTTGACGATCATTCCACTCGAGTCCATTTGATGATTCCATTCAATTACATTTGATGGTGACTCCATTCGAGTACATTTGATGATTCCATTTGATCCCATTTGATGATGATTACATTCGATTCCATTCGAAGACGATTCCATTCAATTCCATTCTATGATGATTCCATATAAATCCATTCGATGATTATTCCATTTGATTCCATTCGTTGACGATTCCATTTGATTCTATTCGATGATGATTCTCTTCTATTCCATTTGATGATTCCGGTCGATTCCATTCGAAGAGGATTCCATTCGTGTCCATTCAGTTGTGGCATTCGATTCCCTTTGATGATGATTCCATTAGATTCCACTCGATTATGATTCCTTATGAATCAGTTCGATGATTATTCCATTTGATTCTTTTCGATGACGATTCTATTTGATTCCATTCGATTCCATTCAGTGATTCTCTTCTATTACATTTGATGATTCCTTTCGATTCTATTCGATGATGATTCTTTTGAGTCCATTCGATGATTCTATTCCATTCCATTTGATGATGATTCCATTTGAGTCCATTCGATAATTCCATCCGACTCAATTCGTTGATGATTCAATTCGATGTCATTCGATGACTCTGTTCAATTTCATTTGATGATGATTCCATTCAATTCCATTTGATGATTCCATTCGATTCCCTTCAATGATGATTACATTCGAGTCCATTTGATTATTCCATTCCTTTCCATTCGATGATGATTCCATTCGTGTCTATTCGAAGATTCCATTCAATTCCATTTAATGATGATTCCATATGATTCCATTAGATGATTGTTGCTATCGATTCCATTCGGTGATTCCATTTGATTCCATTAGATGATTATTCCGTTAGATTCCATTGGATGATTACATTCGATTTTATTCGATGATTCCATTCGATTCCACTCAATGATGATTCCTTTAGATTCCATTCGATGATTCCTTTCGAGTCCATTCGATGATTCCATTCGAGTCCATATGATGATTCCCTTCTTTTCCATTCGATGATGATTCCATTAGGGTCCATTCAATGATTCCATTCGAGTCCATTCGATAATTCCTTTCAAGTCCTTTTGATCACTCCATTCGAGTCCATTCAATGATTCTATTCGATTCCATTCGATCATGATTCCATTCGAGTCCATTTGATGATTGCATTTGAGTCCATTTAATGATTCCATATAACTCCATTCGACAATGATTCCATTCATGTCCATTTGATGATTCCATTCATTTCCATTCAATGATGATTCCATTCGAGTGTATTCGATGATTCCATTCAAATACATTTGATGATGATTCCATTTGAGTCCATTTGATCATTCCACTTGATTCCATTCGATGACTATTCTATTCGAATCCATTCGATCATTCCATTCGATTCCATTCGATGATACCATTCGAATACATTTGATGATTCCTCTCGATTCCATGGGATGATTATTCCATTGGAGTCCACTTAGTGATTCCTTTAGATTCCACTCGAAGATGATTCCATTCGATTCCATTCGATGATACCATTCAATTCCATTCGTTGATCATTCCATTCAAGTGCATTCGATGATATCATTTGATTCCATTTGATGATTCCATTTGAGTCAAATCGATGATTCCATTGGAATCCATTTGATGATTATTCCATTCGAGTCAATTTGATGATTCTATTGGACTCCATTTGATGATGATTCCATTCAGTGTTTCCATTTGATTCTATCCCATAATGATTCCATTGGATTCCATTCGATGATTCCATTCTATTCTATTCAATGATGATTCCATTTGATTCCATTCGATGATGACTGGATTCAATTCCATTCGATGATTTCATTTGATTCCATTCGATGATGATTCCGATCAATTCCATTCAATGATTCCATTCGAATCCATTCCATAGTGATTACATTCTAATCCATTTGATGATTCCATTTGAGCCCTTTCGATAATTCCAATTGAGTCCTATCGATGATTGCATTCATTTCCATTCAGTGATTCCATTCGAGTCCATTCGATCATTCCGTTAGGGTCCATTCGATGATGATTCCATTGGAGTGCATTCGATGATTCCATTCGAGTCCATTTTAGGATTCAATTCGAGTCCTTTCGATGGTTCATTCGATTCCATTCAATGATGATTCCATTTGAGTCCATTCGACGTTTCCAATCAATTCCCTTTGATGATTCCATTCGAGTCCAATTGATGATTCCATTCAATTTCATTCCATGATGATTCAGTACGATTACATTCGGTGATGATTCCATGTGATTGCATTCAATGATGATTCCTTTCGATTCCATTCGATTATGATTCATTTCGTGTTCATTCAATGGTTCCACAGGTTTCCATTCGATGATGATTCCATTCGAGTCCATTCCATGATTCCATTCTATTCCATTCGATGATGATTCCATTGGATTCCATTCATTGATGATTCCACTCAATTCCATTCAATGATTCCATTCCATTCCTTTTGACAATGATTCCATTAGATTCCATTCGATGATTCCACTTGATTCCATTTGACGATGCTTCCACTCATGTCCATTCGATGATTCCATTCGATTCCATACGATGATGATTACATTCGAGTCTATTCAATGATGATTCCATTCAATTCCATTCGATGATTCCATTCGTTTCCATTCGATGATGATTGCATTCGATACCTTTCGATGATTCCCTTCAATTCCATTCAAAGTTGATTCCATTCGAGTCCATTTGATAATTCCATTCGATTCCATTCCATGATGATTCCGATCGAGTCCATTTGATGATTCAATTCAACTCCAGTCTGTGATGATTCCATTCGATTCCATTCAATGATTCCATTGGATTACATTCGAATCCATTCGATGATTCCATTCGAGTCCATTTGATCATGTTTCCATTCGAGTTCATTCGATGATTCCATTCTGTTCCATTCAATCATAATTCCATTCGAGTCCATTCGATGATTCCATTGTATTCCATTTGATGATTATTCCATTTGTGTCCATTCGGTGATTGCATTCGAGTCCATTCAATGATTCCATTTGATTCCATTCAATGATGATTCCATTCGATCATGAGCCATTCGATTCAATTTCATGATGATTCCATTTGATTCAATTCGACGATGTTTCCATTCAGTTCCATTCGATGATGATTCCATTCGAATGCATTCGACGATGATTCCATTCGAGTCCATTCGATGATGATTCCATTCAAGTCCATTCGTTGATGATTCCATTTGATTTCATTTGATGCTTCTCTTCGATTCCATTCAATGATGATTCCATCTGATTCTGTTTGATGACTCCATTCCATTCCATTCAGTGATGATTCCATTCGCTTCAATCTGATGATGATTTCATCTGATTTCATTAGATGATAATTCCATTTGATTGCATTCAATGACGATTCCAATCAAGTCCATTCGAAGACTCCATTCGATTCCATTTGATGATGATTCCGTTCGTGTCCATTTGACAATTACATTCCATTCCACTTGATGATGATTCCATTCTATGCCATACGATGATTCCATACGAGTCCATTCGATGATGATTCCATACGAGTCCATTCAATGATTCCGCTAGATTGAATTCGATGATGATTCCACTCGAGTCCCTTCAATGATTCCATTCGATTCCATTGGATGATCCCTTTCGATTCCATTTGATGATTCCATTCGATTCTATTCGATGATCATTCCATTTGACTCCATTTGATGATTCCATTCGATTACATTCATTGATGATTCCATGTGATAACATTTGATGATGATTCCATTTGATTCCAGTCGATGACGATTCCGTTTTAATGCAGTTGATGATGACTCCATTCGAATACATATGATGATTCCATTCGATTCCAGTCGATGACGATTCCGTTTGAATGCAGTTGATGATGACTCCATTCGAATCCATATGATGATTCCATTCGATTCCATTCGATGATTCTGTTAGCTCCCATTCGATGATTCCCTTTGATTCCATTCGATGAGCATTCCATTCAAATCAGTGATACCATTCGATTCCATTGGATGATGATTCCATTTGATTCCATTCCATGATGACTCCATTCGGTTCCATGTGATGATGATTCCATTAGTTTCCATTCAATGATTCCATGCGATTCCATTTGTTGATCATTCCATTCGATTCCATTTGGTGATGATTCCATTAGATTCCATTCGATGATGATTCCATTCAATTTCATTCGATGATTCTATTTGGTTGCATTCGATGATGATTCCCTTCTATTGTATTCGATGATTGCATTCGATTCTATTCTATGATGATTCTTTTCGATTCCTTTTGATGATGATTCCATTTGATTCCATTCGATGATGATTCTGATCAATTCCATTCAATGATTCTATTCGATTCCTTTTGATGATTCCATTTGATTCCATTTGATAATGATTCCATTCGAGTACATTTGATGATTCCATTCAAGTCCATTTGATGATTCCATTCTTTTCCATTTGATGATGATTCCATTAGGGTCCATTCGATGATTGCATTCGAGTCCATTCAATGATTCCATGTGATTCCATTCGAAAATGATTCCATTCATGTCCATTTGATGATTGCATTCATTTCCATTTGATGATGATTCCATTCGAGTGTATTCGATGAATCCATTCAAATCCATTTGATGATGATTCCATTTGAGTCCATTTGATCATTCCACTTGATTCCATTTGATGACTATTCCATTCGAATCCATTCAATGATTCCATTCGATTCCATTTGATGATACCATTCGAGTACATTCAATGATTCCACTCAATTCCATGGGATGATTATTCCATTGGAGTCCACTTAGTGAATCCTTTAGATTCCACTCAAAGATGATTCCATTCGATTCCATTCTATGATACCATTCAATTCCATTCGTTGATGATTCCATTCAAGTGCATTCGATGATATCATTCGATTCCATTTGATGATGATTCCTTTCGATTCCATTCGATGATTCCATTGGAATCCATTTGATGATGATTCCATTCGAGTCAATTTGATGATTCCATTGGACTCCATTTGATGATGATACCATTCAATGATTCCATTCGATTCTATTCGTTAATGATTCCATTCAATTCCATTCCATGATAATTCCATTGGATTCCATTCAATAATTCCATTCGATTCCATTCGACGATGATTCCATTCGATTCCATTCGATGATTCCATTCTATTCTATTTGATGATGATTCCATTCGATTCCATTCGATGTTGATTCCATTCGAATCCATTCAATAATTCCATTCGATTTTATTTAAAGATGATTCCATTCGATTCCATTTGATGATGACTGCATTAATTTCCATTCGATGATTCCATTTGATTCCATTCGATGACGATTCTGATTGATTCCATTCGATGATTCTGTTTGATTCCTTTCAATGATTCCATTTGATTCCATTTGATAATAATTCCATTCGAGTCCATTCGATATTTCCATTTGAGCCCATTTGATAATTCCATTTGGGTCCAATTGATGATTCCATTCGAGTCCATTCGATCATTCCATTTGAGTCCATTCGATGATGATTCCATTCGAGTCCATTCAATTATTCCATTCAAGTCCATTCGATAATTCCATTTGAATCCATTATATGATAATTCCATTCGAGTCAGTTCCATGATGATTCCATTTGAGTCCATTCGATGATTCCATTCAATTCCACTCAATGATGATTCCATTCGATGATTCCATTGGATTCCATTCAATGATGATTCCATTCGAATCCATTCGATGATTCCATTTGAGTCCATTCGATGATGATTCCATTCGAGTTCATTAGATGATTCCATTCTGTTCTATTCAATAATAATTCCACTGGAGTCCATTCGATGATTCCATTCTCTTCCATTCGATGATTATTCCATTCGAGTCCATTCGGTTATTGCATTTGAGTCCATTCAATTTTTCCATTTGATTCCATTGATGATGACTCCATTCGATTCCATTCGATGATTACATTCCATTCCACTTGATGATGAGTCCATTCTATGCCATTCGATGATTCTCTTTGATTCTATTTGATGATGATAAAATTCTATTCCATTGGATGATTCCATTCGATTCCATTCGATGATGATTCCATTCGATTCCATTTGAGGATGATTCCATTCGATTGCATTCGATGAAGATTTCAGTCGAGTCCATTCATAGATTCCATTCGATACCATTCGATTATAATTCCATTAAAGTCCATTAGATGATTCCATTCCATTCCATTCGATGATGATTCCATTAGATGCCATTCGATGATTCCATTCGATCCCATTTGATGATGGTTTCATTCAAGTCCTTTCGATGATTCCATTAGATTCCATTTGACAATGATTCCATTCGAGTCCATTTGATGATTCCATTCGATTCCATTTGATGAAGATTCCATTCGAGCCCATTCGAAGACTCCATATGATGATGATTCCACTCGAGTCCATTCGATGATTCCATTCGGGTCCATTTGAAGATTCCATATGATGATGATTCCACTCGAGTCCATTCGATTATTCCATTCGAGTCCATTTGATTATTCCCTTAGATTCCATTCATTGATGATGCTATTCGTTGCCATTCGATGATTCCATTTGACTGCATTCGATGATGTTTCCATTCAAGTCCATTCAATGATTCCTCTTGAGTCCATTAAATGACACCATTCGATTCAATTCGATGATGATTCCATTAGAGTCCATTCGATGATGATTCCATTCGAGTCCATTCAATGATTCCATTCGGTTCCATTTGATTATTATTCCATGGGATTCCATTAGATGAATCCATTCGATTCTACTTGTTGATGATTCCATTTGATACCATTCGATGATTCCATTCGATTCTCTTAACTGATGATTCCAGTAGATTCCATTCGATGATGACTCCATTCGCCTCCATTCGATGGTGATTCCATTCGATTTCATTCGATGGTTCCATTCGATTCCTTTTGATGATGATTCCATTTGATTCTATTCGATGATTCCATTTGATGCCATTCAATGATGATTCCATTTGATTCCATTCGATGATGATTCCATTCGATGGTGATTCCATTCGGGTCCATTCGATGATTCTACTCAATTCCATATGATGATGATTCTGTTCGATTCCATTCGATGATTCCATTCTATTCCATTCAATGATGATTCCATTCGAGTACATTAGATGATTCCATTCGGTTCCATTAGATGATGATTCTATTCGTGCCCATTAGTTTATTTCAAAGGATTCCATTCGATGATGATTCTGTTTGAGTCTATTCGAAGATTCCATTCGATTCCATTCGATGATGATTTCATTCGATTCCATTCATTGGTGATTCCATTCAATTTAATTCACTGATTCCGTTCGATTCCATTTGACAATGATTCCATTCGATTGCATTTGAAGATTCCACTCGATTCCACTTGATGATGATTCACTTCTATTCCATTCGATGATTCCACTAGATTCCATTAGATGATGATTGCCTTCGATTCCATTCAATGATTCTATTTGATTCCATTCGTTGATGATACCGTTCGATTCCATTTGATGATTCCATTATTTTCTATTTGAGGATTCCATACGATTCCATCTGATTATGATTCTATTTGAGTCCATTCGATGATTTCATTCGAGTCCATTCAATGATTCCATTCGAGTCCATTTGATGATTCCATTTGATTCCATTTGATGATGATTTCATTAGAGTCCGTTCAATGACTCCATTCGAGTCCATTCAGTGATTCCATTCAATTCCATTTGATGATTCCATTCGCATCCATTTGATCATTATATTCGAGTCCATTCAGTGATTACATTGGATTTCTTTTGATGATGATCATATTCGATTCCATTCGATGATGATTCCAGTCGAATCCATTCAATGATTCCATTCGATTCCATTCAATGATGATTCCATTCGTGTCCATTCGATGATCCTTTTCAAGTCCCTTCTTTGATTCCATCCGATTCCATTTGATGATGATTCCATTCATGTCCATTCGATGATTCCATTCCCTTCCATTCGATGATAATTCCATTCGAGTCCATTTGATGATGATTCCATTTGATTCTGTTAAATGATTCCATTCGATTTCATTCGATGATTCCCTTTGATTCCTTTCCTTGATGATTCCATTCCATTCCATTTGATGATTCCATTCGATTTTATTCCCTAATGTTTCCTTTCGATTCCATTTGCTGATGATTCCATT
The DNA here is from genome assembly GCF_000001405.40 of Homo sapiens. Taxonomy (NCBI): domain Eukaryota; kingdom Metazoa; phylum Chordata; class Mammalia; order Primates; family Hominidae; genus Homo; species Homo sapiens. The sequence continues at coordinate 62,344,502 of NC_000007.14, read as the reverse complement.
CGATTCCATTCGATGATAATTTCATTCGAGTCCATTAGATGACGACTATATTCGATTCCATTGATGATGATTCCAACGGATTCCATTTGATTTCTCCATTCGTTTCCATTCGTTGATCATTCCATTAGATTCTATTACATGATGATTCCATTCGATTCCATTCGATGACAATTCCATTCCATTCCGTTCAATGATGATTCCATTCGATGCTTCCATTCGATTCCATTCGATGATTCCTTTGTATTCCATTCTTTGTTTTACTTCGATTCTTTTTGATGGTGATTCCATTCGATTCCATTCAATGGTTCCTTTGTGTTACATTCTTTGTTTTACTTCGATTCTTTTGATGATGATTCCATTCGATTTCATTCAATGATCCCAATCGTTTCTCTTCTATGATGATTCCACTCGATTCCATTTGAAGAAAATTCCATTCGATTCCATTGGATGATGATTCCATTTGATTCTATTCGATGCCGATTCTATTTGGTTCCATTCGATGATGATTCCACTCGATTTCACTCAAAGACTCCATTCAATTCCAGTCGATGATGATTCCATTCGATTCCATTCGATGATGATTCCATTCGAGACCAATAGATGATTCCATTCAATTCCATTCAATGATGATTCGATTTGAGTCCATTAAATGATGACTCCATTCGAGTCCATTCAATGATGATTCCATTCGATTCCATTAGATTATTCCTTTGTATTCCATTCTTTGTTTTACTTCGATTCTTTCGATGGTGATTCCATTCGATTTCATTCGATGATCCCATTTGATTCTCTTCGATGATGATTCCATTCAATTCCATTTGAAGAAAATTCTATTCGATTCCATTAGATGATGATTCCATTCGATTCTATTCGATACCGATTCTATTCGGTTCCATTCGATGATGATTCCATTCGATTTCACTCGATGATTCCATTCAAATCCATTCGATGATGATTCCATTCGAGTCCATTCTATGATTCCATTCAATTCCATTCAATGATGATTCCATTCGAGTCCATTCGATGATTCCATTCAAGGCCATTCGATGATTCCATCTGATTCCATTCGATGATGATTCCATTCGAGTCCATTCGATGATTCCATTTGATTCCATTCCTTCATGATTCCATTCAAGCCCAGTCGATGATTGCATTCGAATCCATTTGATGATTCCATTCGATTCCATTCAGTGATGATTTCATTCGATTATTTTCAATGATTCCATTTGATTCCATTCGATGATGATTCCAAACAATTCCATTCATTGATTCCATTAGAATCCATTCGATGATGAGTCCATTCATTTCAATTACATGATGATTCCATTCGATTCAATTCGATGGTTTTTCCATTCGATTCCATTCGATGTTGATTGCATTCGATTCCATTGGATGATGATTCCATTGGAGTCCATTTGATGATGATTCTATTCAAGTCCATTCAATGATGATTCCATTCAATTTCTTTCAATGATTCTATTCTATTCTATTCAATGATGATTCCATCTCATTCCATTCAATAAATCCATTCGATTCCATTCTATGATGATTCCATTCGTTTCCATTCGATGATGATTCTATTCGATTCCATTCAATGATTCCATTCGATTACACTTGATCATGACTCCAATCAATTCCTTTCAATGATTCCATTGGAATCCATTTGATGATGAGTCCATTCGTTTCAATTCCATGATGATTCCATTCAATTCATTTCGATGGTGTCTCCATTTGATTCCATTCGATGTTGATTTCTTTTGATTATATTTTATGATGATTGCATTCGAGTCCATTCGATGATGATTCCATTTGAGTCCATTCGATGATGATTCCATTTGATTTCATTTGATGATTCTATTCTATTCCATTCATTGATGATTCCATCTGATTCCATTCTATGATTCCATTTGATTCCATTCGAAGATGATTCCATTGGAATCCATTCGATGATTCCAAGCAATTCCATTCAATGAGTCCTTTAGATCCCATTTGACGAATCCCTTTGATTCCATTCGATGATCATTCCATTTGATTCAATTCGGTGATTCCATTCGATTCTATTAAATTATGATTCCATTCAACTCCATTCGATGATTTTTCCATTCGAATCCATGCGATTATGATTTAATTAAATTCCATTCAATTATGATTCTGTTCGAGTCCATTCGATGTATACATTCGATTCCATTCCATGATGATTTCACTCAAGTCCACTCGATGATTCCACTCGATTCCATTCAATGATGCCATTAGATTCCATTCGATCATGATTCCATTGGATGGCATTCGATGATTCCATTCAATTCCATTCAATGATGATTCCATTTGTGTCCATTCGATGATTCCATTCGATTCCATTCAATGATGATTCCATTTGTGACCATTCGATGATTCCATTCGATTCCATTCGATGATGATCCCATTCGAGTACATTCAATGATTCCATTCAAGTCCATTTGATGATTCCTTTCAATGCCATTCAATGATGATTCCATTCGAGTGCATTCGATGATTCCATTCGATTCCACCAAAAGATAACTCCATTCAAGTCGATTAGATGATTCCATTTGATTCCATGTGATGATGATTCCATCGAGTCCATTTGATGATACCATTTGATTCCATTCGATGCTGAGTGCATTCAGTTCCATTCGATGATGATTCCAAAGAATGGCATTTGATGACTCCATTCGACTCCATTCATTGATGATTCCATTGGATTCCATTTGATGATGATTCCATTCAATTCCATTCGATGATGATTCCATTCGATTCTATTCGATCATGACTCCATTCGATTCCATTCCATGATGATTCCTTTCAATTCCATTCGATGATTCCATTCGTGTCCATTCGATGATGATTCCATTCGTGTCCATTCGACGATTCCATTCAAGTCACTTCATTGATTCCATCCGATACCATTTGATGATGATTTCATTCGAGTCCAATCGATTATTCCATTCGATTCCATTTGATGATTCCATTCAAGTCCATTCGATTATCCATTCGAGTCTATTCGATGATTCCATCTGATACCAATCAATGATTCCATCTGATTCCAATCGATGATTACTCCATTCAATTCCATTAGATGATTCCGTTCGATTCCATTTGGTGATTCCCTTTGATTTCTTTCGATGATGATTCCATTCTATTCCATTCGATGATACCATTCTATTCAATTCAAACATGATTCCTTTCTATTCCATTTGATGATGACTCCATTCGATTCCATTTGATGATGACTGTATTCGGTTAAATTCGATGATGATTCCAACGGATTCCAATCAATTTCTCCATTCAATTGAATTCGTTGATGATTCCATTCCATTCCAGTAGATCATAATTCCATTGGATTCCATTCAATGATGATTAATTTCAATTTTATTCAATGATGATTCCATTCGATTCCATTCGATGATGATTCCATTTGATTTCATTCGATGATTCTATTTGATTCCGTTCAATGATGATTCCTTTCTGTTCCATTCGATGAGTCCATCTGCTTCCATTTGATGATGATTCTGTTCTATTCCATTTGATGATGATTCTATTCGATTCCATTCGATGATGGTTCCATTCGAGTCTGTTCAATGATTGCATTCAATTCCATTCAATGATGATTCCATTCGAGTCCATTCGATGATTCCATTTGATTTCATTCGATTATGATTTTATTCAATTCCATTCGATGATTACATTCTATTCCATTTGATGGTGATTCCATTTAAGTCGAATCAATGATTCCATTCGAGTACACTTAATGATTCCATTGGGTTCAATTCGATGATGATGACATTTAATTCCATTCAATGATTCCATTTGTTTCCATTCATTGATGATTCCATTTGATTCCTTTCAGTGATGATTCCTTTTGATTTCATTCGTTTATGATTCTATTCGGTTCCATTTGATGATGATTCCGTTTGATTCCATTTGATGATGATTTCATTTGATTCCATTCAATGATGATTCCATTCCATTTCATTCGATGATTCTATTCGATTCCATTCGATGATGATTCAATTCTATTGCATTCAAAGATTCCTTTCAATTACATTTGATGATGATACCTTTTGATTCCATTTGATGATGATTCCATTCGATTGTAATCAATGTTGATTCCATTTGAGTCCATTAGAAGATTCCATTCGATTCCATTCGATGATGGTTCCATTGGTGTCCATTCGATGATTCCATTCCATTCCATTTGATGATGATTTTATTCAATTCCATTCGATGATGATTCCAATCGTTTCCATTCAATGATGATTCCATTTGATTGCATTCGATGATTCTATTTTATTCCATTCAAAGATGAATCCATTCTATTCCATTCGATGATTTCATTCGATTCCATTCGATGATGATTCTATTCGATTACATTTGATGATGAATCCATTCGAATGCATTCGATGATGATTCCATTCATGTCCATTCGATGTTTCCATTTGATTCCATTCAACGACGATTCCATTCAAGTCCATTAGATCATTTCATTCGATTCCATTCAATGATGATTCCATTTGATGCCATTCGATGATTCCATTTGATTTAATTCAATGATGATTCCATTCTAATCCATTTGATGATTCCATTCCATTCCATTCGATGATGATTCCACTCGAGTCCATTCGATGATTCCATTCGATTCCATTCGATGATGATTCCATTTGAGTCCATTCGATGATTCCATTCGATTCCATTCAATGATGATTCCATTTGAGTCCATTCGATGATTCCATTCGATTCCATTCGATGATGATTCCATTTGGGTCCATTAGATGATTACATTTGATTCCATTCGATGATGATTCTATTCGAGTCCATTCGATGATTCCATTGAATTCCATTCTGCGATTATTACATTCGAGTCCATTCAATGATTGCACTCGATTCCATATGATGAAGATTCCATTCGATTCCATTTGATGATCCCATTCTATTCCATTCAGTGATGATTCCATTCAGGTACATTAGATGATTCCATTCAATTCCATTCGATGATGATTCTATTCATGTCCATTACATGATTCCATTTGATTCCATTTGGTGATGATTCCTTTCTATTCAATTTGATGATGATTCCATTCGTGTCCATTACATGATTCCATTCGATTCCATTCGATGATGATTCCATTATATTCCATTCAAAGATGATTTCATTCTATTCCATTCAAAGGTGGTTCCATTCTATTCCATTCAAAGATGATTCCATTCGGGTCCATTAGATGATTCCATTCAATTCCATTCGATCATGATTCGGTTTGATTCCATTTGATGATTCCATTCGAGTCCATTTGATGATTCCATTCGATTCCATTTGATGATGATTCCATTGGAGTCCATTTGATGATTCCATTCGAGTCCATTCAATGATTCCACTCGACTCCATTTGATGAATCCATTCGATTCCATTTGATGATAATTCCATTCGTGTCCATTCGATGATTCCATTCGAGTCCATTCGATAATTCCATTTGATTCCTTTCAATGATTCCATTCGATTCTATTTGATGTTTCCATTCGAGTCCATTTGTTCATTCCTTTCGTGTCCATTCGATGATTCCATTTGATTCCATTTGATTATGATCCCATTTGATGATGATTCCATTCGAGTCCATGTGATGATTCCGTTTGATTCCATTCGATGATTATTCCATTCAAGTCCATTCAATGGTTCCATTCTATTCCATTCGATGAGGATTCCCTTCAAATCCATTTGATGATTCTATTCAAGTCCATTCAGTGATTGCTTTCCATTGCATTCGATGATGATTCCCTTTGACTCCATTCAATGATGATTCCATTTAATATCATTCTATGATTCCATTCGATTCCATTCGATGTTGATTGCATTCCATTCCATTCGATTATACTATTCGATTATTTTCGATGATGATTCCATTCGAATCCATTCAGTGTTTCCAGTTGATTACATTTGACGATGATTCCTTTCGATTCCATTCAATGATTCCATTTGATTCCAATCGATGATGATTCCATTCGAGTCCATTCGATTATTCCATTCGATTCCATTCAATTATGATTCCTTTTTAGTCCATTCAATGGTGATTCCATTCGATTCCATTCCATGATTCCATTCGATTCCATTCGATGATGATTGCATTCGATTCCATTTGATGATTCCCTTCGATTCCATTCAAAGTTAATTTCATTCAAGTCCATTCGATAATTCCATTCGATTCCATTCTCCGATGATTCCATTCAAGTCCATTCGATGATTCCATTCAATTCCAGTTGATGATGATTCCATTCGAGTCCACTCGATGATTTCATTGGATTCCATTCAATGATGATTCCATTCGAACCCATTCGATGATGATTCCATTCGAGTCTTTTCAATGATGATTACATTCGCGTCCATTCGTTGATGACTCCTTTCGGTTCCATTCGATGATGATTCCATTCAAGTCCATTCGATGATGATTCCATGCGATTCAATTCGATGATGACTCCTTTCGGTTCCATTTGATGATGATTCCTTTCGGTTCCATTCAAAGATTCCATTTCAGTCCGTTTGATGATTCCATTTGACTCCATTTGATTCCACTTGATGTTGATTCCTTTTGAGTGCATTCGATGATTCCCTTTGAGTTCATTCCATGATTCCTTTTGATTTCATTCGATGATGATTTGATTCAATTCTGTTCGATGATTCCATTCAATTCCATTCGATGACGATTCCTTTCGAGTCCATTCGATGATTCCATTCAAGTCCATTTGATGATATTATTTGGTTCCATTCGATGATGATTCCTTTGAATTCCATTCGTTGATGGTTCCATTCGATTCCATTCGATGACGATTCCATTCAATTGCATTCGATGATGACTCCATTCGATTCCATTTGATGATGATTCCATTCGATTTCATTCGATGATTCTATTCAATTCCTTTCTATGATTATTCAATTCTTTTCCATTTGATGATTCCATGTGATTCCATTCGATGATGATTCCATTCGATTCCATTCGATGATGATTCCATTCGTTTGCATTCGATGATGATTCCATTCGGGTCCATTCAAAGATTCCATTTGATTCCAGTGAATGATGATTCCATTCGACTCCATTTGATGATGATGCCATTCGATGCTATTCGGTGATTCCATTCAATTCCACTTCCTGATGATTCCATTCGACTCCATTCGATGATTCCATTCGATTCCATTCCGTGATGATTCCCTTCAACTCCATTCAGTGATTCCATTTGATTCAATTTGATGAGGATTCCATTCGAGTCCATTTGATGATACTATTCGATTCCATTCGATGATGATTACTCTCGAGTCCATTCGATGTTTCCATTCGAGTACATTCGATTTTTCCATTTGAATCTATTCGATGATGATTCCATTCGATGCCATTCAATGATTCCTTTCGTTTCCATTCAATGGTGATTCCATTCGTGTCCATTTGATGATTCCATTCAATCCCATTTGATGATGATTCCATTTGTGTCCATTCGATGATTCCATTTGATTCCATTTGATGATAATTCCATTTGAATCCATTCGATGATTCCCCTCGATTCCATTCAATGACTCCGTTCAATCCCATTCGAGGTTTCCCTTCTATTGCCTTCGATGATCATTCCATTTGATTCAATTTGGTGATTCCATTTGATGATGATTCCATTCGATGATGATTCCATTTGATTCAATTTGATGATGATTCCATTCGCTTCCATTTGATGATGATTCCATTCGAGTCCATTCAATGATTCCATTCGATTCCATTCGATGATGATTCCACTCAAGCTCATTTGATTATTCCATTCGAGTCCGTTCAATGATTCCATTAGATTCCATTCAATAATGATTCTATTACATGCCATTCAATGATTCCATTCGATTCCATTCAATGATGATTCCATTCGTGTTCATTCGATGATTCCATTGGTTTCCATTTAATGATGATTCCATTCGAATCCATTCCATGATTCCATTCAATTCCATTCGCTGATGATTCCATCCGAATATATTCGATGATTCCATTTGATTCCCTTCGATGATTCCGTTTCATCCCATTCGATGATTCCCTTCGATTCCATTCGATGATCTTTCCATTTGATTCAATTCGATGATTCTGTTTGATTCCATTCGATGATGATTCCATTCGATTCCATTCAATGATGATTCCATTCGATTCCATTCGATCAAGAGTCCATTTGATTCCATTTGAAGATTACTCCATTCAGTTCCGTTTAATGATGATTCCATTCAGTTCCATTTGATGATGATTCCTTTAGATTCCATTCGATGATTCCATTCGATTACATTTGATGATGGTTACATTCGATTCCATTTGATGATGATTCCATTCGATTCCATTCGATGATGATTCCGTTTGATTCCACTTGATGATGGTTACATTCGATTCCATTTGATGATTCCATTCGATTCCATTCGATGATGATTCCATTTGATTCCATTCGATGATGATTCCATTCGCTTCCATTTGATGATGATTCCATTTGATTCCATTCGATGATGACTCCTTTCCAGTCCATTTGATGATGCTTCCATTCAAGTCCATTGGATGATGATGCATTTTGATTCCATTCGATGATGACTCCATTCAATTGCATTCGATGATGATTCCGTTTGATTCCATTCGATGATAATTCCATTCTATTCCATTCGATGATGATTCCATTCCATTCCAGTTGATGATGATTCCATTCAATTTCATTCAATGATGATTCCATTTGATTCCATTCAATGATTCCTTTCGAGTCCATTTGATGATGATTCCTTTCAAGTCCATTGGATGATGATGCCTTTTGATTCCATTCGATGATGACTCCATTTGATTCCATTCGATGAGGACTCCATTCTTTTCCATTCAATGATGATTTTGTTTGATTCCATTAGATGATAATTCCATTCTATTCCATTCCATGACACTCCATTCCACTACATTCCATTCAATCCGATTCCATTCCACTCCATTCCACTCCTCTCCTCTACACTCCACTCCATTGCTTTCCATTCCATTCTATTCCACTGCTTTCCATTCCATTCCTTTCTTTCAAGAGTGTCTCTCTCTGTCACCCATCCTGTAGTGCAATGGCACAATCTCATCTCTCATTCCATTCCATTCCTCTCCATTCAGTTCCATTCGATTCGATTCCATTCCATTCCATTCTATTCCCTTCCATTCCATTCTATTCCATTGCATTCCATTCCATTCCATTCGAAAAAGAAAAAGAGTTGCAAAGTCATACTCACTTTTCTGCTCTTGTCAGTCAATTAAGGGTTCCTTGAATACTTCAGCCCTAATAATTTTCTTTTTATCATACATATTGCAGTGCTTAACTAATTTTAAATGTATTTTTGGTTCAAAACCCAGTTTCTTATTTGGTCTATCTGTATGTTTGCAATATATTTTACTCTCTGTTCATTGTGATAACCACATGTTATCATTCATAGGTGGGTATTGAACAATGAGAACACATGGACACAGGAAGGGGAACATCACACTTTGGGGACTGTTGTGGGGTGGGATGAGTGGGGAGGGATAGCATTAAGAGATATACCTAATGCTAAATGACGAGTTAATGGGTGCAGCACACCAACATGGCACATGAACACTTATGTTACAAACCTGCACATGGTGCACATGTATCCTAAAACTTAAGGTATAATAATAAAATAAAATAGAATAAAATAACAAAACATACACTAATACAGATTAACCAAGTAAAAAAAAAATTGTAGAGAAAGGTCATTTAAAAAATATGAAGGATAGAGTAATAATATAACACGTTGAAATCTAAGAAGGAGAAAACAGCTTGTCTGAACAGCATTTTAAGTGGCAATGTTAGAGGTTTTAACAAAATTGACCAATAATATTAAACGACAGGTTCAGGAGGATTTTCCAAGCAAAGGAAAGCACACACAGAGGACACATCTAGAAACATAATGGGACAATTTCTGGAAAGTAAAAGAAAAATGTAAAGAGCACCTGATAAAAAAAATTGGGCTAACTACAAAGAGAAAGAGTTGACTGATAACAACTTTCTCAAATGAAACAACGAAAGCCAACAAGTGAGGTATTGATATCTTTCAAGTCCTGAAATAAAATAAGTGCTGACATAGAACTGTCTACTTGGTGGACATATCCATCAAAACAAAGATACAATAAAGAATTCCTCCCAAGCAGACCCACAGGAAAAGAAATACTAAAGATTATTCTTCAGTTAGAAGGGCCATGATCCCTGATGAAAATTTGCAGTTAGAAGAACAATTTTTTAATGAAAGAAACAAACATAGAGAGAAATTTAATTGGATATTGACTGTATAACAGAATCCTATCTGTGAGTTGGATAAATTAATTTTAAAATATTGTTGTTTTTTTTTTGGAAATAGACAGATGTACCAATTATATTAGACCCTGAATTCAAGAATGCATGTTGTATTAAACCAGGTAAAACATAACCAGACCAGATATTTAAATGGACTCTCTTAAAGTTTTTATTTTATATTCATATTTCACATATGTTGAAAGTAAATAATGGAAAAGCATACAATGCAAATATTAACCAAAATATAGCTTTAGTTGTACTTAAATTCACATTTTAAAGTTGGACACAGTTAAGTCTCAGTGATTTTTTTTACACAACGGAGGCAACCTGTGCAGTTATAACTAGTATTATATTATGCTCTTGGCCTGATTACAGAAGGGAAAGGGGAGATCATACCAGACAATGGCAGAATGAAGCAACAAGGAGTAGAGCTACAGAACATGATGCTGTAACTGGGACTGGAGTTGCGCTTTTAGAGTTAAAGAATAGTAAACTGGACAAAGTATATGAAACATTTTTTTGAAGTACTGAACAGCAGGCAGCACAGTACTGTGCTCTGCAAGAGAAGAGAAGGAGCCAGAATGAGTCCTGCTTTATTCCCAGATTCTCCGAGACAGCAGTAGAGAGGAATCCCAGAGAGAACAGACATTGTCATTGCACTGAGGAACCCGATAAAAATCAAAAAAGGTTAAGCAGCTGGAATGTGTAGTAGAAGAGAACGTTTACAGAAAAAGGAACCAAGAATCAGCCTAAGGATTCTCCCAAGTCCCTAAGCCAAATGTACATAGGATGAAATTCTAAGGAGCTGAGCAAAGGACTGTACCAGGGAGTTGGAAGAAGAACATTTCCCTGGCATCACATGACAGGAAGACACATTAGCTCTGACCAGCCAGAGAAGGGAATCCCCTCTGTACCTCCAGGATATTCAGAAAAGACCACTGGAGGTTCATGCCCTAGTGACAGTGCTCATGTAGCTCCAAATTACAGATGGCTCTAGACTAACTCGACAAAGTTTAAAGAGAAGATTTAAAACAACAACAGACAAATACTCATCCTGAAGTTACTGAACTGCCTGCCACAACATTGTTCAAAGGTAGCCAATCAAATCTAGATATTCAATAGCATAACACCAAAATACCCCCCAAAAAAACTCTGACATGCAAAGAAGCTGTAAGATAAATATAATTAAGACATATATTAACAGAATAAAAATAAGTCATTTATAAATGACAGAGAAGAAGGAAATTTCAAGGTCCTTAAAGTAAATATATTTTATAAATACATATAGATAAATACATATATATGTCAAGGTACTTAAATGAAAATTGAACATAGGAGAAAAATAGAAGTTATAAAATGAAAAATGTGACATATATAGATGAAAAATAAATATTTGAAATAAAAATTCCATGAGATAGAATAAGTAATGGATTTTACCCTAACATCAGAAAATTTATAGAACAAAATAGAAGCTTTACAAACTAAAGGACAAATGGTAAACTAAAATAAGAAAGCCAGAAACTCACTGATACATCAGACAATATGCAGCAGTGTAACATACATGCAATCAATATCTCAAAAAGGATGGGTGGGGGAATTATAGGTGAATAAAGAATGGTACACTCATTCCTGAGGGCACCGAGGAGGGAGGATAGCTTTAGATTCCTAAGGGAGGGTATTATCCATTCATGAAGGTCCAACCCCCCATGAACAAACACCTCCCAGTGAGCCCCACCTGCAACATTGGGGATAAAATTTTAACATGAGATTGGAAGGGGCAAGCATTCAAACCATAGCAAGTGTTACATTTCCTTTTTAAAAAAAAATCACTGACATGATTCCATTTTGTCATAGATAAAAGCTAGTATTTCAGCCTACCATTGAGTGTGCTTATAGTTCACCAAAAGGGCACTCTGTCTCGGGAATACAGATTTGCCTAGAGGTATCCTATTGCAGTCAAAGAAAGAACAATGAGGCATAGAAAAGGTTAGCAATGGAGACACCAGTGCTGCATTTTGCAACAAGCAATGTGAAAACTTTATGTATTGGTTCTGCTAACTTACTACAGTTTACATTCCCCTCAGGAGGGAGAATTGTTGCGTTTTTTCTTAAGATAGAAAAGCAATTCAGATAATCTGAAATCTCCACAAGAAGGATAAGAAGCAGAGCAGACACTATTCTAGGCAGGAATTCAATCCTTTCAACTGTCTGTGCTCCATAGAAACAATTGTCTGCAATGGGATTCACATGAGGTACAGACCACAGCCAGACCTCTGATCCTCTCATTAGTGATTTCAGAAGAAATTACCAGTCAACTGAGTAATTCACTGAGTAAAGTAAACATTTGGCACTGAAAGAGGTTAGACGCATAACTATTTGTATCACCATATTCATGAAGCTGGAATATGTTCCATTACTCGTATGACATCGGAATGGAAGATATTGAAAGGTCTCTCACCTTGTAAGATGGATATGAAAGAACATTTTCTGAGAAATGAAATTATTAACACACCTGCGAGGTGGATGGAAGAGAAAAAAAAAGAATAATCAGCTTGAGTTCTTCTCCTTGATAAGACAACTCACTAAAAACATAAAGAGAAAAATACAAGTTTAAAATAATTAACCAGAAGAAGACGACTCTAGAGTTTTTAAATTGCTGATAAGATTTTAATTTGCTCCAAGTTAAAAATAATTTTATTGCTTGTGTTTTAAGGCACATAATGAGCAATTATATCACACATGATAGTTTCAGCAGTAAAATATCCGTTAACAGCTGGAACTCATAAAAGCATAGCACAACATAAAGATGGAATTTGCTAAAATAAACCATCTGCTGAAAACTACTATTCTGCAAATTTAAAAATAAAGTTTAAATGTTATTTGTCTTATTTAATAGGTCTGAGAAAAAAATGCTATATTTGAAAAGTAGGTGCTACCTTAATTACTTCTTTATGTTAGAGGGTTGGTTACAGTAACTCACAGTAAGGTGCTACATAGATATATTGCTAATTTTCTGCATATACTATGTATTTGGCTTAAAGTATTTGAAATTTTATAGTTAAAGTAACAAATGTATACTTAAGTGTTATGACACAAATTGCAAATATACATTTAAAAAGCGTCTTACACTCTAAATATTATTTGTCACCTATATATTTGTCTTTTCTCTATAGGAAAGTTTAAACTTTTCCCTTGAAGCTTTAATTATTTGAGTCTATAAAATAAATTGATAATGTACAAATTAACAGGAAAGAAAGGTTTACAGATATGTGCACAAGTATGCACTTGGAGTTTACATAATATATATAATATATCCATACAAATATTTGTATATTAATAACAGATATACAAATATATACTATATATATAAAAACTCCAGGAAAGGCAAGGTAGTCAACACGCCTATGCTGTCTTGTGGTTACAGAAAACACAGAGCTGCAGGTTGGTAAATCGGGCTTTGCAGAAGAGAGGTGACGACAAGGAAGAAAGAGGAGCCTGGCAGCAGAGGTGGTCTTGTTACATGGGTGAAATCTCACAGGGAGCAGCCCTCCTCTTGGGAAGTATAGATAGGAAATGGTTTATAGAAATATAAACGTGCCAGACTTAGTTAATCTTTCCTAAACCCAGACAAGGGAGTATCCCAGGGAAAGCCTGTCTATATCAATGCAGATTTTCTCTACAAATACAAATCTCCCCAACAAACACAGCTTTTCAGCTATTTTTGTAGAAGAAGCTATCTCCAGTCTTCCGAGTAGCCATCTTGAAATATGTCAAAAAGCTGGCCAGGCGCACACCTGTAATCCCAACACTTTGGGAGGCTGAAGTGGGTAGATCACCTGAAGTCAGGAGTTGGAGACCAGCCTGACCTACATGGTGAAACCCCATCTCCACTAAATACAAAAATTAGCCGAGTGTGGTGGTTCATGATTGTAATCTAAGCTACTTGGGATGCTGAGCTAGGAGAATTAGTTGACCCTGGGAGGCTGAGGTTGCAGTGAGCCAAGATTGTGCCATTGCACTCTAGCCTGGGCAATAAAAGCAAAACTCCATCTCAAAAAAAAGGCATTTTTGGGTAATATTTTGAGTATCTTTGCCTCCATATGTACAATAAATAATATTGTGATTTTTAACCTTTGCTCTTCTGTGGAGAAAACACAGGTGTGATTTCTAGTGTAGCTGAACATCGTTTATTTGACAATATTGCAGTTGTGTGTGGGTGTGTGCCTGTGTAGCTACTCTTTCATTTTGTTCTCACATAATGATTAGATATTAACAATTAATTCAGTAAAATGTATGTTTTGCAATATTTCTCCATTTATTATGCTTTAAATTAGTTGAATCATGCCCCTATAATGTGTACATTTTAACCTTTGACTATAGGTCTCAATCTTACTTTGGATCCTGCATTTCAATTTATGCTAATAAAGTCCTACAGCTAAAAAAGATCATATAAACTTATCTACACTTTTACTAGTATTCTGGTGTCATTTTAAATTATGTAATGAAATCAAATTTTAATTTGGATTATTGTTATCTGAGTTAAGGATCTAAATTTTTAATTTTCCTATAAATATTACATAATTATTTCTGAACCATATATTGTCTAATCTGCCCTTTATATGATGTGCATTATAAGAGCTTGGGATTGTTTCATTTGCAAAGATGAATGCTTGAGAAGTAGATATTTAATCATAAGAAAATGTGGCACATATACACCATGGAATACTATGCAGCCATAAAAAATGATGAGTTCATGTCCTTTGTAGGGACATGGATGAAATTGGAAACTATCATTCTCAGTAAACTATCGCAAGAACAAAAAACCAAACACGGCATATTCTCACTCATAGGTGGGAATTGAACAATGAGATCACATGGACACAGGAAGGGGAATATCACACTCGGGGACTGTGGTGGGGTCGGGGGAGGGGGGAGGGATAGCATTGGGAGATATACCTAATGCTAGATGACAGGTTAGTGGGTGCAGCGCACCAGCATGGCACATGTATACATATGTAACTAACCTGCACAATGTGCACATGTACCCTAAAACTTAAAGTATAATAAAAAAAAAAACATTTCAAAATCTACTGGATAACCTAGAAGTGAAAAATAGCCTATAGGTTCAAAAACTCCTGTAGTGAAGAAAGAAAATAACTAATATACAGTGACAATATAAATATTATAAATATTTATTTTATTACCACCCTGAAATTTGATAATACAAACATGTAATAGCTACATATCATCCATATATCAGGTCATAAAAAATCAACACATTCTTCAAAAATTTAGCATAACAGAAAATGCACTCTGTCTCCTTGATGGAATTAAGGTAAAAATAAAAGTAAAAATAAGTAGATAAGTAGATGGAAGTAGATGTTTAAAAACAAAGAAAAATATTTGTTTGGGATAACATAAAATCTCAATTGACAATTCCAATATTTCCAGAACATTGCCTGTCAACTTGTGTAGAGTTGTCCCCAGGAGATATTTGTCAATGTCTAGGGTTATTGTGGGGATGTCAAGACTGGTGGAGGTGTGAAATTTAGAGGTCAATCGAAACACCTAGCATTGCTAGGGCAGCCTCCCACAACAAAGAATCCTCTGGTCCTAAAGGTAAGTAGCACCAAGGTTGAGAAACCATAATCTAGACAGGAAACACTACGTAGCTATTCCAAGTGCTCAGGAAAACACATCAGTGCCCTCGAGGGGAAAAGTGTAAACATTTTAATTGCTGCACATGGTGACACAAATCCATGTTGTTAATCTAAGTGGAATGGGCTGAAGAACAAAACGTAATTCAAAGAGATTACGTGAGCCACAATGAGGACAGCTGCCTGGAAGAAACAGACCCAAGTATCCTTGGATATGAACTCCCTTTGGAGCTTTGCAACAAGCAGTTTCTTAAAGGCAAAAATGGTTCCAGAAGTGGGATGATGCAAAGAGGTTTGTCACAAATTCTCATTGGCTTATGGAAATAACATTTATTAGTGACTGGCTATACACTGTTACACTATTATTGGGTGTGGGTTATAGTGTCTAGTGTGGCGTTATTGGTTAATTTATAGCTACTGTGGCAACAGCAAGCAGCCTAGATGAACACACAGCTCAAAGAGGAGCAGGACAGAACTGCTGTCTCATTTGAATATCTCTCTGGGCCTGATTATTTAAAAGGACTTGCATTTCTCACATGAAAGTTATTTTCTTTTCTCAATGTCCATAAATGAGAATAAATAGACATAAAATAGATCTTTTCGAGGATGAAGAAAACGGAATGAAAAACAAAACCCAAGCTGACCAGAAATCATAGAGGGAAGAAAACATTATAAATATATGGATTTTTCAAAGTGATTTTAAACTGTTAGGAATCAGTTAAATGTTGGGGGATTTTGTCTGAGAATGGTCTAAAGGAGAATGTCCCTTTTGCCTTCTGAAGTTTCCCTGAAAATCACTAATAGGAGGCAGATAAATAGTAGAAAAGGCATACAGGTTTCTGCAATGTGTGTACACTGGAGCCCTTAGAACGAAGACCCAGACACACGATGCGTGCAGAAGCTTATCTACCACATGAAGTTTACAGAAAGAATGGGGTCTTGGATCACAGGGAAAAAAAGAGGAAGGTTATGTGAGGAAACGACCCTGGCTAGCAACAGTGGGCTTATTACATAGGTGGAACCTCACTGGGAGCAGTCCTCAGAGAGAATAGACAGAAAATGTTTCTTTCAGACCTTTGGAGACCTCAGACTCTCAGTTAAACTTTCCTAGATCCAGACAAGGGGGCAGACCTCATAGAAAGCCTGGCTGCATCAAAGCTGATTCTATACCGATAAAAATCTCCCCAAGACAACTTTGCAGCTAACTTTGCATTTCCAGCCCTTCTCAATAGCCATTTTGAAATATATCAAGGAAATATATTTAGGGGTAAAATATATTAGTTTTCCTCATACAGCTATAAAACATACAGGAATAATTTTTGTCAATGTCTACTACAAATCCAATATAGCAGTAATTATAAAACCCTCCAGATATTGAAGAAAAAATATGTAGTGTACCTGAATTACAAATGTTGATACTAAAATGCTAAATAAAATATAAATAATATCCAACAATATTTGAAACAGTAAGACAAGAAATTGCCAAAAAAAAAATAAAACAAATATCCACCTTGGGGATGAAAGTGTGTTTCAAAATTTGGTAATCCAATAATATTACTAATCATATTGATTAGCCCAAATTAAAAATAAATAGGGGATACTCAGTACATGCTAAAATATATTTGTCAAAAGGTTATATTCATGTCTTTAAAGATTTTAAATGTTATAAAGGGTCTGATATACTATATGGAAACATGTGTATGTCCATTAGAAGAAGAGAGGCCTGATTTTCGTGACACTACAAAGAGATAGAGAAGTGGATAGATTAATTTGCATATGCATAGAGAAAGCATAACATAGAAATTTACTATCATATTAAAGGAATTTTAATTCAACAATAAAATAATTCAAAGGTAAAATTTTAAATAGTTTTAACTGGTACATTTTTATTAGATAATATTTATAGTAATTGTGAAAATATTCAATGCTAAAATAAGATACAATGTCTAAACATCAGTATTAAAACTAGTATAAATATTTGCTTGTTTATACAAGGAAAATTCAAGCTCGACCTAAAATTATATGGGAATTAAAAGAAAAATTTTAAGGGAGCTCTTTAATAACATAATCATATGTATATATACACACACACATATAACAGGAATATATGTTATATGGGATAGATATAGATTTAACATGTTATATCTGTATTTGTATCTATAACTACAGCTGTATGTATCTACATTTCTATATACTTAGTGATATAAATATAGACTGGAATAAATACAAAGACCCATATGATTCTTGGATAAAAAAGATTTAGTATCATAAAGACAAATCCTTTCCAAATTCACTTATGAATTCACAACAATATACAGTTTCATTAGTATAATTTAAAATTTTTAAATAAATTCCAAGATTCATTTAAAGGAATATACATGTATACAAGCAGTCAAGAAAGAAGCA